>NC_000004.12:116042593-116194108 GCF_000001405.40 Homo sapiens | reverse complement strand
AAGCAGAACTCTACTTCTTAAGAAAAGTACGATTGCTCTGGCTCCAACTTTGAAAACGGATTGCATTTTTACATCGATTCCAGTCTTTCTCAGAAAATTGGTTTCTCAGTGACAGATCTGATGTTTCTGCTCTGTCACTCTCCACCCAGGTTCTGTTTTTTAAGATCAAAGCAGAGGACAAAGCTCTTGTAAAGATGAGCTTTTGTTCTGAAAATCACCTATGCCAAAGACACATTTTTCCAATTAGGCTGACATATTAAATATCTCCTCTTTTAAACATATAACTAAAACGTAATAATAATAATAACTACCTGGGAAGACAGTTAAATGAACTTGTTCATTTTAATTTTGTGATTTATTAATTTTAAAACAAAATTAAACTAAGTATTCAAAAATAAAATACAGAAGCAACTAATCTCAGTCATTATTGATCTCAGCATATTCACATTTAAAGAGAATGGTGGGCAAGATAGCTATACATTCTTCATTTTTATTTTTGTGTTTGTTTGTTTCAATGATAAAAACAGATGAGTCTATTCTTCTAGATACCAGAAATTGTTATAGCACCATAAACTGGAAGTTATTAAAGTTCTTAATTAATTGAACAGCTTTTACCTGTAACACACTCTAGATGAATCTCATTTTAATTTTCTTTATACTACCTGTCCTTTGAAATAGAAAGTAAATAATATTCTCTTGGCAACTGTTTTCCCTTATTAACTAATTATGATTATATTTATCCAATATTTATTGGACTTTTACCACATATAAAGTACTGTGGTAGACTCTGACAATACAATAGTAAATGAGTGTGGTAGGCTCTGACAATACAACAGTAAATGAGATATGTTCCCATCTCCATAAATGAATATATGGATTTTTAGAAATGGTAACTAAGTAAGCAGGATATCAGAATAAGAGACAAACAGGATAAAGTGAAAATATAATTCTGAGGATACTTTTGAACTCTGCATTGTAGTTTTGTCCTTGTTTCATACAATATCCAGATATCCATGTTTATTTACTATTAAATGATGAAAAGAATCAAAAATATGTGACTCATGTGAAGACAGATGCCAAGGGCAAAAAACCAACCAAACCAAACAAACCTGGACTTTTTATTTTATTATTTTTTTAAAGTGCTGCTTTCACTGATTTTTTTAATATAATTACAACAAAGGTAATCTTTGCTTATACAGAGAAGAATATTTAAGAGAAAAAAGATGATAAATTTGAAATCAAGAGCCAACTTATTAGAAAGTTCAGTGCATCTGTCTTGACATTCAATTAAATGTCTAATTTGAATATTAGATTTTTTAAAAAAGCATGCCCATTATTGAAAGCTCAATCGAAATTAGCCAAATTCTTTAGAATCTTTAGAGATGCTTAACATAATATAATATTCCTGTACTCAATGAGAATATTTCATAATTTTTGGCTTAAAAATTGAGCATAATCTATAGCCTAAAAATGTAATGAAATGAAAGTAGGTAGAAGCTACCCACATTTGCAGTCTTGGCTGTGTCCTAGGCTCCTCTTGATGGGCATTGCTCATATCTGTAGCATACAAATACTTTTACAATAGGTAGATTGGCTTCAGTAAGAATGTTATAATTTACATAGTTTTTTTCTTATCTGAGAAGATTAATTTAAGGTTTTTTTATTTGCAGAGGGCCAACCTCATGTAGTAAATTTTTCTTTTCACAATATTTCTCCAGCTATCCTCTTTTTCTTCATTATCATCAGATACATAGCTTTTCACCTAATCTAATTCAGAAATTGCAGTGTGTGGTCATTTCATATTTTCTGTCTTTCTTCCCTAATCCATGAAAACCAGCATCCAATTTAAATTCTTAAAACTTAAACCCGACACAAACACTTTCCTTATTTGAAATTATATAAAAGCAAACAAAAATCTCAAATTACCCCATTCCTTCCATAATTAAATGCGTTTTTCTCACATTGACAGTTCATGCTTCACCCACCAATTCTTATTCTGCATTCACTATCTGCTCCCAATACCTTTTCTGATAACCAAATGTTTCACTGAACACCCATAGTATTATTTAGCTTCAATATGGTATCAATAATGGCTAACATTGTCTCCTGGAGCTTTATATATACCAGGCATCATCCACAGTATAAAGTAAAATAAGGGTAACTTTCATAATATTAAAGTTCTGCAAATAATAAGAGACAGTGCCTGGCTTTGAATCATTCTTCTCCATTACTATATCTTACCTTATTTTATAATTATTTATTCAGGTGAATTAATTTTCCTGTTCCTACTCCCCCATCTGATTGTTAGTTGTAACAAGTAGAGATTGGCTAACCATCTTCAAATCCCATGCCATCAATATTTGAATATTTATTAACTCAATAAGACTAACACAGATGTATAAATATATAGAACACAGGTGAAATAAAACCACATGTGTAAATGTTTACACCAATACTAATTAGAATTAATTATGTTAATTAAATACTTCTTTGTGATGCAAAAGAGTAATTCTACCAGTGTCACTTAGTTATCTTGATATTATTCTTTACAGTAAATTATCAAAATCTGAATTTCCTAAATGTGTTTATTTATAATACAACAGATATGAATTAGTCTAATCAACCATAATTATAGTGAAAATTTGAGCATGTCAAAGAATATATGCAATAGTGTATTGAATGATTATTACAATAATAAGCAAACTAATTAAACTCTATTCAACCAATTTTTAAAATCACATTAGAACCTTAACAAATAATGCTTCTCTTGTTGACAATTATGAGGAATAATGCTTTCATTTATTTAAACTAGTCATTTTTGAGGAAAGTATTAAAAATAGCTATTACCTATGGACTTACAATGTTTATAGTGTACAATTCTGAGTCCAAGAAGTCAGACTAACGTATTATATTTTCTTAGAAGTTGTGAATTAAATAAATCGTGTGAAAGAGCTCAGAGAGTGATGAGGTTATAACACTGGGGCTAATACCAAAAAGTATCCCAGACAATTTTTAAAAAATTATTATTATTATTATTTTAAGTTCTGGGTTACATGTGCAGGATGTGCAGTTTTGTTACATCGGTAAACCTGTGCCATGGTGGTTTGCTGCACCTGTCAACCCATCACCTAGCTATTAACCCCAGCATGCATAAGCTATTTTCCCTAATGCTCCCCCCACCATCACCTGCCGTCCCTCGACAGGACCCAGTGTGTTGTTACCCTCCCTGTGTCCATGTGTTCTCATTGTTCAGCTCCCACTTATAAGTGAGAACATGCAGTGTTTGGTTTTCTGTTCCTGCTTTAGTTTGCTGAGGATAATGGCTTCCGGCTTCACCCATGTCCTTGCAACATTCTAAGAAAAAATTTGAGGTAATCTTTTACATTTTCTTTTCAAATGCTCTAAGAATTCCAGTACAAAGGATCCAAACCTGAAGATACTTCAAGAAGTCTTTCATCTACTATCAGTTACAAAACCCGAATTTCCAAGATTTTTTTTTTCAAATTTATCTTGACAAAAACACCATCCCTGGCATTCAACAAGGATGGTAGATGGTTAAATATACATTCAGTATTTTATTGGAACAACATAAATACCTTATAGCCTGTAGTTCTTTACTATTGTTCATTTTGATCTCTTACACTACCTGAGCTCTACCCTGCTCATTTTATCACTCTTTTTTTATGCATTTAAAATGAGATTTCTCCAATTACTAGGGATTTCTAATCTTTTTACATTATAAAATAATATCTATTGACTTCAATAGGAAATACAAAGTTTGTCAATCTTAAGTGACTCTACCTCACCAATAAAACAGTTTTGGGGAATCGTTATATATATCAATTTCCTTTTGGAAAATTAAGTCACCATGTTACACATGATGGTAACTTATACAGTAAGCAAAGTATTTACTTTTGAATAAACCAATATTTAAGGCATTTGACTGTGCAACAACTTTTTTCTTGCAGTATATATAATAACATCTTATAAACCACTGCTTTTTAAATAAAATATGGGAGAGGCAGAGACAGAAGGTTATTCCCAAGGAACTATTCTCTACTTGTTTTAAAAAATTAGCATTTTCTTTTTGTCCATACTTCTCAGCATGAAATAAATTTTTTAAAAAAGGGTATAATTCCAAGCTTCAATTACGTGTGAGTGTGGCTATGATCTAATATCTCTCTGCTGCTGGTAAAAAAGAAGTGGCTAAAATTGACTTGTATATGTGTGTGATTAGCTTATAATAAGACAAATTTGCTAAATTATTACAAATATTAACAAAATCTTAAAAGACATAATGGTATGTATAATTCTTTGTTCTTTACAAAATATTTTTGGAAATTTGATTCCACTCATATCTAATATTTATTACCATTGTAAAGTTTTCAATTTGTAGGGAACGTTTGCATCATTTATGGAAGTAAGTATTGTGTTTTTCTGCATTTTAACCATTAAGCATCATAGGTAAATTTTTATTTTTTGATATGAAAATTTTTTTCCAGTGACATCTTTTATTAAACTTCAAACATTTTTCCTCAAATTTTAATTTTGAAATGCCTACTGGCCTTATTTCCCAGAGTGCTAATAATCTGAATAGTGAGCCCTTATTATTTGAAAAAATTGTGGCCTTTCAACCTCTAACTTTATCTTTATTTTATTTTATTTATTTTTAAACTTTTAGGTTCAAGGGTACATATGCTGGATTTTATATAGGTAAAATTGTGTCATGGGAGTCTGTTGTACAGATCATTTAATTACTCAGATACCAAGCCTAGTACTCAATAGCTATTCTTTCTGCTTCTCTCCCACTCCCACCCTCCAACCTGGTAGGCCCCAGTGTTTGTTGTTGCCCTCTGTGTGTCGATGTGTTTCATCATTGAGCTCCCACTTACAAATGAGAATATGCAGTATTTGGTTTCCTGTTCCTGTGTTACTTTGCTAAGGATAATGTCCTCTAGCTCCATGCATGTTCTTGCAAAAGACATGATCTTGTTTGTTATTATGGATTCATAGTATTCAATGGTGTATATGTACCACATTTTCTTTGATCAGTCTGCCATTTATGGGCATTTATGTTGATTCCATGTCTTTGCTATTGTGAACAGTGATGCAGTGAGCACACACATGCATGTTTCTCTATGATAGAATAATTGATATTCTATGAGAGGGTAATTGATATTCCTTACTGGGTATTACCCAGTAATTGGATAGCTGGCTTGAATGGTAGTTCTGTTTTTAGCTCTTTGAGGAATCACCACATTGCCTTCCACAATGGTTGAGCTAATTTATACTCCCACCAATATTGTATAAATGTTACCTTTCTCTGCAGTCTCACTAACATCTGTTTGTTTGTTTGTTTTGACTTTTCAGTAATAACCATTCTAAATGGTGTGAGATGGCATCTTACTGTGGTTTAGATTTGCATTCCTCTAACAATTATTAATATTGAGCGTTTTTTCATATGCCTGTTGGCCATATGTATGTCTTCTTTTGAAAAGTGTCTGTTGCTTTCATTTGCCCACTTTTTAATTTTTTTTTTCTTGTAAATTGGTTTAAATTCCTTATGGATGCTGCATATTGAACCTTTGTAAAATCTATAGTTTGGAAATATATTCTCCCATCCTGTATGTTGCGTGTTTACTTCATTGATAGTTTCTTTTGCTGTGCAGAAAGGCTTTAGTGTAATTAGATACCATTTGTCAATTTTTGTTTTGTTCAGTCTTCTTCCAGTCTTTTCCCTCTATATTTTCTTGAAATAAAATCATACTAATTATATTTCATATGTTGTTTATTATGTTTATTTTGCATTTTATTTTATTATATAGGCAATATCAGAACTGTAAAAAAAGTGTGTAGTCTTTTTTTCCTTACAAACCAAATACTCACAAAGCCAATACCCAGATCAAGAAAAAGAATATTCACAGAATTCCAGATATCCCTTTGTTTCCCTCCTTCTAGACACTAATCCCCTACAAAAGTAAACACTAGCCAAACTCACTGTGCCGTAAATTAGATTTTCCTCTTTCTGACATTTATATAAACGGAATCACAAATTTTAATTTTGTTTAGTGGTTTCATCCATTCAACATTATGTTTGTGCAGTTTAACCTGGTGGTTGAAAGCAACCATGATGCATTTGTTTTCACTGCAATTTATTCATTCTGTTTTTCACAGACCTTCAGGTTCTTTCCCCTTCTGGGTTATTATGACTAATACTGCTATTGATGGCTTATGTAGGGATTGTCATTGTATACATACATAGAAATAGAAGAGCAGAGTCTGCAGGTTGTAGTGAAATGTATCCAGTATACATTTAATAGTATTCAATTCTATCATTAAAAATAACTAGAACATATATATGAAACAAAAAAGAAACAAAACATATGACAGTTGGATGAATCTAACTATACAGACAAGTAGCTTGTGAGAAAAGTTACACATAAATTATGAAATAAATTTTAGTTGTCAACATAAAAAAGAAGGATGGAAGGACTAAGAAGTCATCGGGATATTCATTAAGTATATGAGGAACTTTGATACCCCAAATTATGCACATAAAACATTAAATATTCATGATACAGTAAATATGCAAGCCACATGAGTCATTCAGTATCACGGAGTTTTTAACCAGCCACCCATTAGTGATGCCCCATCGTCATTCGTTTGTCCTTTGCCATATAGTACCCGTAACTGTTTATCTGGCCAATTCGTAAGGCTCAGCTACAGGCATGCACCTTCCTGAGTGTCTTCAAAAGAACAAGAGTGTTATGGTTACAGGCCCCTCTATCTGCTGACTTCCTTTTTTTATACCTTAACTCTGGTTCTTGTATCCCTGCCATCAGTAGGAAAACCTGATGAAGCAGAAAGAGATAGGATATATGTACATTGCATAAAACAAGACTCAAGTAGCTTGGTCATTCTACTCTGCTTGCATGCTATCCTAAGTGTGTAACCCTACCTTCTTCTCTTTCCCCTTGATTCTTACGGTGTGTTTGCAATAAATTCGATAAACCATGAGATTAATTTATTTCAATTTTCTCAGTGAGTCTGTTCTGTGACTTTAGCAATACACTTGTATCAATTTTTCACACTTCCACAAGGATAGAATGCAATTATATAGGCATTCCAATTAAATTAGTAAGAGGATGAATTTGTGCTCTAAAAAATATTCTCTAAAATGAAAGCAATATCCAAGATGAAGAAATCTAATTTAGAAGGACTATCAAACAACACACCCACAGTTTATATTAAGAAGTTAAATATTCAGACCCAAACTCAATTTAGATTTAATAAGCCTCCCTAAAAAGGTCTTGAAATCTAAAAGAAAAAGCCCAAGTCTAAAGAAGATAACTTTGATATTGTTGGAAACTTTAACAAATGACAAATGACAGAATATAACAGAAAAAAGATAAAATATCAAATGCCCAAGTATGAGGAAATGACCCCAGAAATTATTTTCAATAGAAAGAAACTCAAAGCCAAGGCAGATAGCTTAGACATTATATAATGATGTCTCATCAAAGAATAGGGCAAAAAATTAAGATACAATAGCCCAGCTCGGGAAAACAGAATACATAAATTTGTATTTGCTTCTCCCTTCTCAGTCGCTACCCAGAGGATAACAAAGTGAGCATTATGATCTGCTGATGTTTATTTACAAATCCTAAGAAAGTGCTGGTGACCATTGAACTTTAAATTCAGGAACTAGGAACTACATCAGGTCAAAATTTCTATAAATGAATTAGAGTGTGTAACTAAAACTAGGAAAAAGTAATGAATGGATAGAGCTAATTAGAAAACACTCTATTCAGAGCCACTCTTCTACAGGCTGCAGGCAGTAAACGTTGGTGGCAACTGCACCATGCCATCTCCACTAGTGCACAGAGTGCAGAGCTGTGGGTGCATGGCTGCCTCCACTTAGATTTCAAAAAATGTCCCAGACAGCCTCAGGGCCCAGGCAGAGAGCTGCCACAGGGGCAGGGCCACTTTAGAGAACTCCCACTAGGGAAATGTCTAGTGGAGGTTTGGGAGCAGGTCTACCCTCAAGACCCTCACCTGTGTTAAATTCCAGCCAAGGAGAGCCATAGACTTCGTGTCACCACTGTGCCTGGGACCACTGGAACCACACGTGGGACAGTTGAATATTGGTGTGCCAGAAAGCAGGGAGCAGAGATTTGTGGTGGTACAGGAAAGGGAGGAGAGTGTGGAGGCCAGTAGGGGCCTCAGGTCTCTCTTGATATTTTTCTGTCCCCCAGGCCTTGGAATTCTAGACCTATGATAGAAGTGACAGACCTGATGCTCTCCAAAATGAGTTTGAGGTCATTCCTCCATTGTCTTGATGAATAGCACCTGTCTTCATCCATAGGAAGGACTGCTTGTCCATGCCCTTGGTGTAATCTTGTAAACAGCCTTTCTCATTCTTTGCAACATGGGGAGACTGTGGTTTTTCCAAATCTTTCAATTCTGCTTCCTTTTTATCAATTTCATGTTTACATTTTTTTCTCTCGTCTGGTATTTTATTATAAGTAGTCAAGCGAAGCCAAGCTGCTCCTTCAACATTTTGCTTAGAAATTCTTTTGTCAAATATCCCATTTCACCTCTCACAAGTTTCACCTTCCACAAAACACTAGGACACGAGCACAATTCAGCCTAGTTCTTTGCCACTTTATAACAAGGATTACCTTTCCTCCAGTTTTCAATAACTTGCTCCTTACTTTTTATCTGAGCTTCATCAGAATGGAAATACTGTCCATATTTCTATCAACATTCTATTCACGCTATCTTAGAAAACATCTAAGAAGACTGAGGCTTTCTCTCTAACTTTTCTCTTCTTCTGAGCCCTCACCAGAATTACTCCTAATGCTCCCCCATTTATGGCAATGTGGGCTTTTTCCTAGCATGTACTTCCAAAGTCTATCCATTACCCAGTTTCAAAGTCCCTTCCATATTTTTAGGTATTTGTTCCAGCATCAGCCTCACTTCTGGTAGCAATTTCTTTCTTAGATTATTCAGGCTGCTTTAACAAAATACCTTGGATTGGATAATTTACAAACTACAGAGATTAATTGTTCACACTTCTGGAGGCTGGAAAGGCAAAGGTCAAGGTGCCAGCAGATTCAATGTCTGGTGAAGGCTCACTCTCTTCCTCACAGATGGTACCTTCTTGCTGTATCTTCACATGGTAGAAGGGGCAAACAAGTTCCCTTGGGTGGGCCTCTTTTATAAGGCACTTATCCCACCTACCTCATGACCTGATCACCTCCCAAAGGCCTCACCTCTTAACACTATTCCACTGAGGATTAGATATCAAATATGAATTTTGGGAGAACCAAAACATTCAGAGCACAGCAAATAGTGTATCAAATTAGTATTCCCAAAAACTGAATCAAATATTACATAAAAGAGGTAGCAGTGAAATAGGTACTTTAATAAAATATGGTTATACATTTAAAATATATAACCCTAATATCCTTTCCATAATATATAAATAATTTTAATCACTCTAATTTCTAATTTCACAATGCATGCAATCTCAAGAGCTAATTCCTTTAAAAATCAGGTGAATTATTTTAGATTAATGCATAACTAAAGCTTAGATCCACATATCTGTTGGCAAATAAATAAAACATCTTAAGAGATTTTAATATGTCAATCACCAGGCTTTACAGTACTGCATATCTACTTTCAAGTAGCATTTAAGCTACAATTTTTTTTCTGGTTTTGGTTAATATTTGTCATCTACATTTCTCTAACTTTTACAATACATATTTTAAAAAGTTAAGCAGAGTGAAAAATAATGTCAATAATAATAATTATAGTGTCTAGTACTTTTCATAACTTGGCTATAAAAGCATTTTCATATGCATCATCTCATTGGATTATCACCAAAAATGAATATTATTATCATAGATATACAAAGAAGTGAGGCAAATATAATTTTATGATTACATGAAAGTAATAAAGCCATTAAATTACAGAGCTGGAATTTTCTTCAAGATATTTTAACTTCAGTTGAAAAGCTATTTTCCACAGTTCACCTACTTCATAGGGAAAAATGAGAAGAATCCCACTCATAGTAATATTTGTCACTGTAATGATATAAAATTTGTTACAGAATCAAAAGTTGTTAGAACTTTTATATTATTTATACTTTCTGAAATATTTTCATTCATATGCCCTGTGAACTTGTTCCTTCTAAGTTACAATAGTTTATAATCCTTTTCAAAATCACTTTTTATTTATAGAATTCCGTTTCTTCAAGTACATTATCTTTTCAGAACTAAATCATGTAACATATTATAATAACTAATCCATACAGTAAATTATTAATGTTATTATTTTTGTTAATTTATACTTATGCTTCATTCCTTGTAGGCTTTCTTCCTTCATTTTTTGATTGTATGTAGTGAAAAATTTCTGCTTATTGTCCCAATAATTTAATTCTCCTTCCTTCCTTCCTTCCTGATTTCCTTCCTTCCTTCCTTCCTGCCTTCCTTCTTTCCTTCCTTCCTTCCTTCCTTCCTTCCCTCCTTCCTTTTATAACTTATTTCTCTAACAGATGCATACCTGACTGGTATTTTTTTCATTCTCTATTCCTTATAAATCATTCTCCAGTTTCTTACTTACTAAAATTCTAAAGCCCTCACTTCATCTTATAACTTGGGTAACTACTTGTTAAAACTTTCCCTAGACTGACATTCAGAATCTGCAAAACTCTGAATGAGCCTTTACTATTTAATCTTATCTGCATGCCATAATACTTCTGCTTAAGTCTTAAGGCACCATATGTTCACTTAACCCTACATGTGTTATGCTTAAGCTCCACAGCAGGTGTTTATACATTACTGTCCTCTTAACTAAGCACATCACATCCATATTTCGGATAAAGTTGGTGAAACTTTCAATAATGGTCCCAGCCATCTTTTATTTTGCCTACTCTCAACCCCTGAAACAATTATTTTGAAACGTAAATCACCTAATCCCTTCATGGTTACCTAGCTTCTGTGTGTGGATTTTATATAATTCAGAATTGCATTAGGACAATAGTAATATGTCTTATGAGTCTTGTTTACCTGAGATGTGTCGTTTAATTTAAAAAGAGATCATCCGCATCAGTCAACTAGGATTTGTTTTAAAAATAAGTATGCCTAGCTTTTTCCTACTTTCAATCTACTGATTTAGAGTTTTTGGGTTATCTTGACTAGAAATCTACATTTTTAACGTGTGTACTCAGGTGATTTTTACATACATTGAGTTGTGAGGACTACTGGTATTATGGAGAATGATGTTGGAATTAACAGCTGTGAAGACTTTACTTCTCTGTAAGCTTGAGTGTTTTCTGCTGTGTAAAACATATATAATAGCTATTGCACTGGTTGGGTGTGATAAATGTGTGTAGGCTAACATAAAGCTCCTGCACATAACAAGTTCTCAAAAGGTATTTTTTGTTGTTGCTGTTTTTGAGATGGAGTCTCACTCTGTTGCCAGGCTGGAGTGCAGTGGCGCAATCTCGGCTCACTGCAACCTCCATCTGCTGGGTTCAAGTGATTCTCATGCCTCAGCCTCCCGAGTAGCTGGGATTACAGGCATGCGCCACCACACCTAGCTAATTTTTGTATTTTTAGTATAGATGGGGTTTCACCATGTTGGGCAGGATGGTCTCGTTCTCCTGACCTTGTGATCTGCCCACCTCGGCCTCCCAAAGTGCTGGGATTACAGGCTTGAGCCACCGTGCCCAGTCGGCATTTGGTCGTTTGTGTATTTAACCAGAATACTGCCAAAATTCATCCACTACTTATATAAACTTTTCATACAAAAAGATCAACAATTTTATTTGAAAAGTCTTGATGTAAATACATAATTTTTATTACATTTATATCCAAGTGTTATAGATTGTTCTATGCCCTGCAAAATGATACATTGAAGTCAGGACTCACAGTAGCCCAGAACATGACCTTGATTAAAAATTGTGTCATTATAGGTATAGCTAGTTAAGATGAAGTCATACTGAGCTAGGTTAGACCTTTAAATTAGTATATCTGATGTCCTTATAAGAGAGGAGAAAGTCCAGTGAAAAGCCAGATACAAGAGAGATATGAGGGCACACAGGGAGAAAATAGTTATATAACAACTGTGGCAGAGGTTGGAGCATTGCTGCCATAGCCAAGGAATGCCTGGGGCTCGCAGAAGCTGGATAGGCTAAAAAGAATCTTCCTTTACAGGTTTCTGAGGGAAAATGGCTCTGCCAAAAACTTGGTTCTTCTAGAATCAAGACTTTTAACCTCTAGAACTATAGAGAACTAATCTCTGTAGTTTTAGTCCACCCAGTTTATAGTACTTTGTTATGGAAGCCCAAGGAAAATAATACACTAGGAATAGGGAGATAGGTTTTATTCAAGTGATTTTTTCATTCTTTCTTATATTTTGTATTTAATTTTTTAAAATTTGTGTCAATATATTACTTAACATTTTAAATTTTAATTTTTATTACTGTACATTATTTTCATAATAATCATTCTAATTTTATACTTCAAAATTTTATCAATGAGGTATATTTGGACCATATCTTAGAACATATTATCATTCATCTATGACACAACAGAATATGAAGTCAAGAGAAAATTTGGTGTTACAATTGAAAAAAAATTTGTCATTTTCCAGTTTGAAATTCAATAGAAAAATCATGTTTCTGTTATAAAAGATTCTCCAATTTACTCTTCTAAAAACTTTATTTTCCCCTTTTAAGCTGTGTCCTGCAATTTGCCTTTGAATCATCATAAAGCACATAATGTAATATTGTTTTGTTCTTTGTCACTTTAAAAAAATGTGTTCGTGTTAAATGAGTTTTATTGGCAGTGATAGATGGGAGGATTTTGATCAGTAAAACATCACTGAGAAAGCAAAATTTTCTGAACCATATTTTATTTTTTGTAGAAAACATTACTCTAAACACTGGCCTAATTCAATATATGTTGAATGAAAACATGTAACAATTAATTAACAGATTAATTAACTGATTGGTTAACATGTGAAGGGGAATAGGAAGGGAAATGCGTCAAGGACAAGGTTGGTTTAGGAGTTTAGAACGATAGGAAGGAGGATGCATATTGTGAAAGCCGTGAGGAGACCATTTTAATTATAGAGACTATATTGAGGGTAAGAATGATTACACAAATTCAAGTATTAAGAGAAAGTTAGCATCTGGACATGAATAAAAAATGATTTAAAACTATAAGCAGCATGTTTAATTTATTAAGCCTTACTGGCTGCAAATGTTATATTGCATTTCTATTGGCCTTACAAAAACAATTGTAAGATAATGCCTCCAAATTAGTTACAATTTCCAGAATAACATAGCCAACTGAAAAAATAAGCAAACGAAGGAAGTAATATAACCCCTGCAATACTGCACAGTGAAATAGAAAAGGTGAACTGTCTGCCAGAGTCAAATGGGGAGCTAAAATAACAGAGGAATGTTCTACAGAAAAGTCACAGGATTTGGTAAAAGATTGCTTAAGGACTGTTTTAAGCCATGGGCTATCTGTCTCCAGAATCCTGGTAACAGAAAATACTTGACTATAGAATGTAAACAGTCTACTGTTTGGAGTGTGAGAAGAGCAAATGACTGTAACTCTTCGGGAGGAGGAAGACAGGAAAAGCAAGCAATAATATCTATTCATATTCCTAGGCAGTCTTGCTGTTTCTGAAATACTGAGAAAAATGTAGAAGGGGTACAATATGTTCATAAAATATATCTTTATTAATTATACCACCACAAAAGAGAAAGTAGTGATGCATCTTTTACCCCAATCATGAAAAAACAAAACAAAAAACAAGAATATCTGTTGCAAGGGCACCATCTGCTGGAAGATCAGTAAACAAACATAAACCAGCTCAGAGGACAGTGATCTGTTCACAAAATTATAATGCCAATGTCCTCCATCTAATCGAAACTGCAGGCTATTAAAATATATATGTAAATGTTTAATGATCCTCTGAGGAAGAAATAATAACAAGACAGCTCATTGCATAATGAGAAAGTATAATAAAATCTATGAAGTAATGAGATTGAGTCTCTTGTTAGATACTTTAGTTGCAATTTGCTTTCCGAAGAATGATATTTTTACACAAAATAAACATACATACTAATACAACTGACTATAATATTGTATCTAATTGTATCTCAACAAATATGTTTGACAGTCTATACAAACTTTGGTAATTAAATTTCTATTTTGTGGTACAAAATGGGCTGTATACTCTTTCATAACAGATTTTACACATATTTTCTTTGATTATATACATACATATAGAGATAGAGAGAAAAGTAATTTTAAAAAAATGTAATCAGACACAGGATTATATTTCTAGATTTTCATAATTTTATCTCATAAGGTTTTGCAAGCTCTCATTTTTCATTCCTTTCACAGCCTTGCTGACACCCATACATCTAAATTTTGTTTCCTCCTTATATCCAGAATTGAACTATTCAAGGATAATTTTTCCCATAATATTGGCTTTCTAGTGTTTAGATATGCTTCTCCCACCTGTAGTTAAAATAATGGTTCCACTTCCTGTTTTCAACCCTCTGAAATCTTCACTTTTTATTTCCAGATCTGGGTAGTCTTTCCTCCCATGCAAGCCCCTATGTGTCCCTCCTATCACACTCTCTTTCATCTACCACACACTTTACATTCTGACCTATAAAAAAGGAAGGAAATCATTCGTCAGAATTTCCCTTGAGTATAGAAATATTGTATTTATTTATTTGTTTAATTTATTTGTTTTTGAGACAGGATTTTGCTCTTCTTGCCCAGGCTGTGCAATCCAGGTTGTGCAGTGGCATGATCACAGCTCATTGCAGCCTCAGCACAGCTCATTGCAGCCTCGGCCTCATGGGATCAAACGATCCTCCACTACAGCCTCCCAAGTGGCTGGGACCAAATGCATGTGCCACATGCTTAGATATGGTTTTTTTTCTTTCTTTCTTTCTTTTCTTTTTTTTTTTAAGAGACAAAGTCTCCCTATGTTGCACAGGCTACTTTTGAACTGCTGAGCTCAAGGAATCCTCCTGCCTCAGCTTCCTAAATTGCTGGGATTACAGGTGTGAGCCAGCACACCTAGCCATTTTGTGTTTAGAACAAATATTCAATAAGTTCAGTATTTTGGAGGTGAAGACACAGAGAATACGCACCACTAAACATTATTAAAAATGTGCTTTCTAAAACATGTGGACACTGTTGTTTATATGATTATTTGGTTTTGCTGACCAACAATATGAGCCTTTGGATATGCATTATAAGAAACAAGAGCAGAGTTAAACTTATTTTTAAAAAGTATTTCTTTTTAGAGATAGGATCTCACTCTGTTGCCCAGGCTGGAGTGCGGTGGCATAATCACAGCTCACTGCAGCTTCAAACTGCCTGGGCTCAAGCAGTCCTCCCACCTCAGCCTCCCAAGTGGCTGTGACTACAGGCATGTGCCACAATGCCCAGTTGAGTTCAACTTATTTTTAAAGTACAGCAGAGCAAAGCCTGTCTTAGACGCTGTATGACCATGAAGGGATTTTGGAAAAGATAAATAACTACTACTAATTTTGGAATTTATCTGCTGTAGAGAGGGCTATATTAAAACAAACAAACAAACAAACAAAAAACACCTCCTTTCTCTTTGCTATGTAATCTATCTTTCTTTCTTTCTTTTTTTTTTTTTTTTTGAGACGGAGTCCGCTCTGTTGCCCAGGCTTGAGTGCAGTGGCGTGATTTCAGCTCACTGCAAGCTCCACCTCCCAGGTTACGCCATTCTCCTGCCTCAGCCTCCTGAGTAGCTGGGACTACAGGCGCCTGCCACCTCGCCTGGCTAATTATTTTTTGTATTTTTAGTAGCGACGGGGTTTCACTGTGTTAGCCAGGATGATCTCAATCTCCTGACCTCGTGAACTGCCCACCTCGGCGTCCCAAAGTGCTGGGATTACAGTCGTTTGCTATGTAATCTTATGATGAAAAATCTAAATTGCTTAGTAAACATGTTATATGATGATATTATATGGAAGACTCAAAAAAGTGCTATTTCTGCACCAAGGTTAGTATAGGTCATAAAGACAGAAAATAATATGCTCTAATAGGCCTTGTCCTGATTGCTAAAGAGCAAACACTTGGCGAGTTCACAATATAAAGTGAGAGTCTCAAAGACACATTCCCTAACCTACGTCAAATGGTTTAATTTTATTTAATCCTCTTTTCTGAATACAGCCTTTTCTGAAGTTAATGAATTGGTTTTACTTCATGAAAATAGAATTGTGTAACCAACACAATGTTGAAAATGTAAAAATCTACTTATCATCCACACACACATACAAAAACACACATTTTATGCTTAATTATTAATTTTCATTACTTTAAAAAATGTTCAGTTTTTGTTCCACTAAAGACTGACATGCCTCACCCATTGGTAGAATTCAATCATTCATTCATTTAAAAAAATATTGAGCATTGCCAGCTCAGTAGACACTGAGTTGACTTGATTATACTGGATAAGCATTAATACATACACAAGTTCTAAAATATTTGCTGATAAATATAATTAATGCCAGAAAGGAAAACAATAAAAGATTCTCTGAGAGTAGGAAGTCACACAAAACTTATGGATGGGATGAGTAGGTTCTTCCTAAACTTCATCTTAAAGAAGAGAAACTTGAAGGGAGGCTAAAAGATTGATGTGGAAGATCATTTTCAAAAAAAGCTGCAATGACGCCTCTAATCCGTTTGTATACATCTTTTTGTGCTGTGACTTTGCCACTACTTCCCCTATTGATGAGTGGGGTTGATTTCCGCATCTTCCAAGTCTGGATTGGCATATGACTTGCTTTTGCCAGTGGGGCAATAACAAAAATGGCCACAAGCAGAGATTTGAAAAGTGCTTACAGGAGAAGTGCCAGACGCTAATAAAACCATTTCATGAAAACTCACTCACTATCATGAGAACAGCATGTGGAAAACCACTCCCAGGATCCAGTCACCTCCCTCCCTTGACATGTGGAGATTACAATTCGAAATGAGATTTGGATGGGGTCACAGAGCCAAACTGTGTCACCCAGATATGTAAGTGAGTTAGTGGGAGATCATTCAGGCCCAGCTAAGACAATGCAAAACAAAACAACCTCTTAGCCCTTCCACAGAATCACAGAAACATTAGAAACAATAATTTGTAGTTTTGTACTACTGTGTTTGGGGCCATTTATTTAATAGTAACAGCTAACTGAAAAAATTGTGCAGAAGCAAGAAAAACAGCACTAAATATTCTGAGCTGAAGGACTAGCATGCAGCAACTCTAAAGTCTAACTGGGGGTTTTCAATAATATAAAAAGTGCTGCATATAGCAATGGGGAAAGGATTCCCTATTTGATAAATGGTGCTCGGAGAATTGGCTAGCCATATGCAGGAAATTGAAATTGGATCTCTGCCTTACACTTCATATAAAAATTAGGTCAAGATCAATTAAAGACTTAAATGTAAAACCCAAAACTATAAAAACCCTCGAAGAAAATCTAGGCAATACCATTCAGGACATAGGCACAGGCAAAGATTTCATGACGAAACAAGGACCAATAAGGTTTGAGAGTTAAACAGAATTCTAGGTAATATTACTCCCAACTAGCCATTTATAAAAAAGGTTAAGCTTATAGAAACTGGAATGAGAAATTTTTGCAATCTTAAATTGGGATGTGATAAGATTTGTCAGTTTTGCAGAATCAATTGACATGGAGAGGTCAAGATTAAAATGAAGGACAAAGGATGCTCTTGTTTCAATATAGGTGAAGCATAATTGCAGTTTGAAGGATGATAGCAGTGGCATGAGTGCATATACACTTTAAACCTCTTTCTTTCCCTTTGCTGAAGATATGAATATTTTTAAATAATCTTCAAAGTTGAAGAACATAACTAATCTGTTGTCACTGAAATACTATGGTATTTTCTATTGAACTAATGGTGTTAAATTTTAGAATGATAGCATTCTGCCTTATTCCAGTAGTTACAGAGTTGTTTGCAAGTAACCTGACAGTTTTCAATTATTTTACTTTAATGTACCTATTTGTCAAAACTCTCCCCTATAATAGATCTGGTTCCCTCTGCACAAGGTGTGAAATGGTCTGGAGATCAGAATGTACAACCAAGTAAAAAGCCTGCTGACAAAAGAGCATAGTGCTGGGGAATGAGATAAACTTTTTGAGATCTCTGCACTCTTAGTCTCACAGAAAAAGAGTGAACCTACTCATACACCCAATACATTGCTGCTACAATCAGCATTTGAGAAATCTATTGCACAAAAGCCATCTATAATCAAGGAACTCATACAGACCCAAGGCCCCCTGAAAGGATCTGGAATAAAAGCCAAGCAATAATACACAACATACATTACAGTCACACCATGAAAAGGAAAAAACATAGTCCTACTGAAATGAGAGTAAAATCAAAAATAAGAAGTGACAGCTTCTCCAGATGAGAAGGAATCAGCACAAGAACTATATCAGCACTCACACACGCATACAAAACAGTGTTTTGACATCCTACAGGATCACACTAGCTCCTTAGCAATGGATCCTAACCAAAGTGAAAATTCTGAAATGACAGATAAATAATTCAAAATACAGATTATAAGGAAGTTCAACGAGATCCAAGAGAAAGTTGAAAACAAACACACACACAAAACAAAACAAAAAAACCTCATAATATGAATACAATATTTACTAAATAAATAGATTTTTTTTAAAAAACAACAACTTCTGGGAAAGAAAAATTCATTGAGTAAATTAACAAAAAATAGTTGCAAACTTTAACGATACCAAGGAGAAGAAAGAATATCAGAGCTTGAAGACCGATCCTTTGAATTAACCCAGTCAGATTACATATATATATGTGTATATATATGAATTAAGAAATGAACACAAACTTCAAGAAGTATAGAATTGTGTAAAGTGACCAAACCTAAAAGTTATAATCACTTCTAATGGAGAAAAAGAAAAATTAAAAAACTTTGAAAATGTATTTGATGGAACAATTCAGGAAGATATCCCAGGTCTAGATAGAGAATTAGACAGAGAGAGAAAAGCAGCACAGAGAATGCCTGACAGATACTCTGAAGAGAAAACTCAGCAAGGCATATAGTCAGACTATCCAAAGTAAACATAAAGGAAAAAAATCTTTAAGCAGCAAAAGAGAACCATCTAATTACTTATAAAGGAAGTCTCCTCAGACTAAAAGTGGACTTCTCAGCAGAAACCTTACAAACCATTAGAAAATGAGGGCCTATTTTCAGTCTACTTAAAGGAAAAAATAAATGCCATCTGAGAATTTTATATCTTGCCAAACTAAGCCTAATAAATAAAGGAGGAATAAAGTATCTCCCAGACAAGCCAAAACTAAGGGAATTCACCAACAAGAAATGATCAAAGGAGTTCTACACATGAAAATGAAAGGAAGATACTTGCCATCATAAAAGCACATGAAAGTACAAAGCTCCTATAAATAAATTACACAATTAAGACTACAAAGCAACAGGTAACAATTAACATTATGACAGAAACAAAACTTCACATATCAATATTAACCTGGAAGATAAATAGTCTAAGTAGTGCACTTAAATGATATAAATTGCCAAATTGGATTTACAACACAAGATCCAACCATTTGTGGCCTACAAGAAACTTTACTAATCAGTAAAGATTCTTAAGATAAAGAGGTAGAAAAAGATATACCACACACATTATTTTAAAAAAGCAGGATTAGCTATACATATATCAGATTAATCATACTTTAAATCATCAGTGAAAAAAGACAAAGAAGGTCGCTGGAAAATAATAAAGGATTCAATTCAAGAAGATACAATAACCATAAGTATATATGTAGCCAACACTAGCACACAAAGATTCATAAAATAATACTACTAGACCTAATAAAAGAGACAGAAAACGGTAAAATAATATTGGGGAACTTCAACACCCCACTGACAGCACTAGAAAGATCATCATCACTGAACATCAACAAAGAAACCTTGGAATTAAATTGGACTCTAAGACAAATGCACCTAAGAGGCATTTACATCATATAATGTATACTCTGTGATTGTTTTTCTACCCAACAATCATACAATATACATTTTTCTCATCTGTGCATGGAACATTCTTTGAAATAGACCATATTCTTGGAGATAAAGCATGCCTCATTATATTTAAAACAATTGAAATTATACCAAGCATCTTCTTTAACCACAGTGGAATAAAATTAGAAATTAATACCCAGAGGAACTCTCAAACAAATATATGGAAATCAAACAACTTACTCTTGAATGATCTTTGGGTAAACAATAAGATTAATGCAGTAATAATTTAAAAAAAAAATGAGAATAGAGACACAACATATTAAAAAAAAAACCTCTAGGATACAAAAAAAGTGGTGTTAATAGAAAAGTTTGTAATATTAAATGCCTGTATCAGAAAGCTAGAAAAATCTATAATTAAAAACCAAATGTTGCACCACAAGGAACTGGAAAAACAAGAATAAACCAAACCATTAAAAACAAAAACTTATGATCAAAGCAATAGATGCAGAAAAAACATTTAAAAAGTCCATCATACTTTCATTATCAAAACCCTCAACAAATTAAGCATCAAGGTACATCCCTCAAAATAATAACAGCCATATAAAACAAACCCACAGCCAACATTATCCTGAATGAGGAAAAGTTGAAAGCATTTCTCATAAGAACTTGAACAAGCCAAGAATACCCACTCTCACCCTTCCTATGCAACACAGTACTGGAAGTCCTAGCCAGAGTAATCAAACAGAAGAAAGAGTTAAAAGGCATCCAAATTGGAAAAGAGGCAGTCAAACTATATTTGCTCACTGATGGTGTGATCTTATACCTAGAAAACCCTAAAGACTCTTCTGAAAGACTCTTAGACTTGATAACTTACTTAAGTAAAGTTTCAGGTTATAAAATCAATGTAAAAAAGTTAATAGCATTTCTCTATACCAATAATGTTCAAGCTGAAAACCAAATCAAGAACTCGATCCTATTTACACTAGCCACAAAAAAAAAAATACTTATGAATACATTTAACCAAGAATGTGAAAAATCTCTACAAGGATAACTATAAAACACTGATTAAAGAAATCATAGATGATACAAACAAATCATAGATGGGTACACTAGAAAAACATTCCATGCTCTTGAATTGGAAAAATCAATATTAAAATGGCAATATTACCCAAAGCAATATAGAAATTTAGCACAATTCCTTTAAAATTATTGTCATTTTTCACAGAATTAGAAATAAGAAACCTAAAATTTATATTAAAATTTTTAAAAAGCCCCTATAGCGAAAGTAATCTTAGGCAAAAGGCACAAAGTTAGAGGCATTACATTACCTGACTTCAAATTATACTACAAGGCAATGGTAACCAAAACAGCATGGTACTGTTACAAAAATAGACAGATTAATCAAAGGAACAGAATACAAAACCCAGATATAAAGCCATATACCTATAAGCAACTGATCTGTGACAAAGTCAACAAAAATATACAATGGAGAAATGATATTTTATTCAGTAAAGGTGTTGAGAAAATTGGATAGCCACACACAAAAAAATGAGTCTGAACCCATATCTTCCACATCTGTAAAATTTAACCGAAGGTACATATATAAAAATTACATATATAAAAATTAATCGAAGGTACATTAGAGACTTCAATGTAAGACCTGAAACTACAAAAATACTAGAAGAAAGGCTAGGAAAAACTCATCTGGACATTCGCCTCAGAAAGAATTTATGACTAAAATCTCAAAACCAAATGCAACAAAAGCAAAAATAGACAAATAGGACTTAATTAAACTAAAAAACTTTTGCACAACAAAAAAAATAATCAATAGACTAAACTGACAATTTACGGAAGGAGAGAAAATACTTGCAAACTATTCATCTGATAAAGGACTAATATCTCAAATGTACAAGGAACTCTAGTTAATGACAATTTAAGGACCCCAAATGAACCTATTAAAAAGTGGGCAGCCAA
Organism: Homo sapiens; assembly: GCF_000001405.40. NCBI lineage: Eukaryota > Metazoa > Chordata > Mammalia > Primates > Hominidae > Homo > Homo sapiens. The sequence goes on along the minus strand of NC_000004.12, from coordinate 116,172,037 downwards.
ACATGGTGGCTTATGCCTGTAATCCCAGCACTTTGGGAGGCTGAGGTGGGTGGATCACCTGAGGTCAGGAGTTCGAGACCAGCCTGGTCAACATGATGAAACCTCATCTCTACTTAAAATACAAAAATCAGCCTTGCGTGGTGTCAGGTGCCTATAATCCCAGCTACTAGGGAGGCTGAGGCAGGAGAGTCTCTTGAACCTGGGAGGCTGAGGTTGTGGAGAGCCAAGATCGCACTATTACACTCCAGCCTGGGCAACAGAGTGAGACTCCATTAAAAAAAAAAAAAGTGGGCAAAAGACAAAAAAAGATATTTCTCAAAAGAAGACATACATATGGGCAATAATCATGAAAGAAAATTCTCAACATCACTAATAATTAGGGAAATGCAAATTACAACCTAAAGTAGATAACATCTCACATCAATCAGAATGGCTACTATTAAAAAAACAAAAAATAATAGATGTTGGGGGAGGCTGTAGAGAAGAGAGAATACTTTTACACTCTTAGTGGAAATGTAAATTAGAACAACCCTTATGAAAAAAAGTATGGAGATTTCTCAAAGAACTTAAAATAGAACTACTATTTGATCTGACAGTCCCACTACTGTGTATGTATCCAAAGGAAAATAAATCATTATATCAAAAAGACATCTGCACTGGTATGTTTATTGCAGCAGTATTCATAAGAGCAGAGTCATGCAATCAACCTATGTGTACACCAACAGCTGATCTGATAAAGAAAATGTGGTATATATATGCCACAGAATACTATGCAGCCATAAAAAATAATGAAATAGTCTTTTTTGCAGCAACATGAATGAGGCTGGAGGCCATTATCCTAAGTAAAATGACTCATAAAAAAGGGAAAATCAAATGCTGCATGTTCTCACTTATATGTAAGAGTTAAACAATGGGTACACACCAACATACAGAGGGGAGTAATAGACACTGGGGACACCAAACATGTGAGGGTATAAGAGTGTGAGGGTTGAAAAATTACCTGTTGGGTACAATGTTTACTACTCAGGAAATAGGTACACTAGAAGCCCAAATCTCACCACTACAAAATATGTCCATTTAACAAACATGCACATGTATCCCCTGACTCTCTAAACATATTAATAAATAATAAATTAATAAATAAGTTTATTGCCTATCAAAGATTTCATCCCATTTGTCAACCTCTAAAATAAGAAAAAAGTAGCCATTAAAAACTTATTGGATACTTTTGTTTCTGTTCCAATACATAAAAAGCTTGAAAGTTATCATTTTTGATCCCAAAACAAAACAGCAACAATTAAACCTAAATAAACTAAAAATCATTGACTTTTCCTAGGTCCATCAGAAAGTTGAGGTCACAGAGAAAAGTCCACTCTGAAAAGTGGGTAGACAGGCAAATACATATAATCACAGCTGAGATCAGTTTATCCTGAGCAGAAGTCACTGGAGCCAGTACCTGGTAGAAACACTGAAATTTAAACTGTACTGACGAGTTGCTGGAGACTGTGGACTGCTTTAGAATTAAAAGCTTCTGGGGTCCCAGTCTTAAGGGAATCCGCCCTACATTTTCATGAGTTTTACCTTCAGGAGCTTCACAAGATTCTTGCGGTTGGATGGAGAAAAATTCCCTTGTGATTCAAGCAGGGGAAGCACGAAAGTAAGTCATCATTTAAAAATATGACAAGATCTTTCTCCAACAAAATCCTGCCCCTAAGAGAAGCTACCTTACCAGAGCCTTATTTGCAGCTACAGCAAATATTAAATGTAGTCCCATTCCTAGACAGATCAGAATAAAACTTCAAATAAAACTACAGCTCTAATTACTTCAGTTTCTATTACCAGATAAATTAGTTTAGGTGCTTTTTTTTTTCAACAATTTCAACTTTTATTTTAGATTCAAAGAGAACATGTGCAGGTGTGTAATATGGATGTGATGCTGAGATTTGTGATATCAGTGATCCTGTCACCCAGGTAGTGAGCTAGGACCCAACAGTTTCTAGGTATGTTAAAAACCAAGAAAAAAGTTTGGAGAAACAAAGCATACATCAGAGCTGATTCAGATACAACACCAATTTGAAATTACTAGATAAGGGCTTTCAAATGAAAATTATTATTATGCTAAGGTCTCTAATAGGAGAAGTAAACAACATATAAGAATATATGGGTAATGTGAGCAGATAGATGGAAAATCTAAGATAAATTAAAATAAAACACTAGAAATAAAAAACACTGACAGAAATAAAGAACACCTTTGGCGGGATCTTCAGGTGACCAGACATAGTTGAGGAAGGAGTCAGTGAGCCTGATGGTATAACAATTGTCATTTTCAAACAAAGAAGAAAAAAATAATAATTGAAAAAAATGAAAGAGAATGGCCAAAAACTATAGGACAATCACCAAAGGTGTGACATATGCATAACAGAAATAACCATAGGAGAAGAAAGAGAAAGGAACAGAAGAAATACATGAAGTAATAATGCCAGAAGACTTTCCAAAATTAAAATTAATGACAGACACCAAACCACAGACCCAGGAAGCCCAGAAAACCCCAAGCAGGATAAATAACAACAAAAAAAAGTAACAAAAATCTACATCTGTCCATGTCATACTCACACTATAAAAACAAACTCAAAGAGAAAATATTGGCAGAAGCTTAGGATGGGAAGGTGAGGGAGCACAAACAGACCTTACTTATGGAGGAGCAAGGATGAACTTATATTGCCTTTCTGTTCCAAAACCAGGAAAGCAAGAAGAGAGTCAGTGAAATATTTAAAGTGTTGACTGAAAACAAAACAAAACAAAACAAAAAAAATGACCAATCTAAAATTCCATTTCCAGTGAAATTCTCCTCAAACGTGAAAACTATTAAGGCTTACTTAGGCAAATTAAAAAATAATATTTTTCCAAACATATTCTTTGTGAGAAAAGTTAAATGATATAGGTCAGAAACTCTAGCATACATGCAGAAAATGGCATACGAGAAGGAATAAATGAAGGTGATATGGTTTGGCTGTGTATCCTCACCCCAATTTCATGTGGAATTTTAATTGCCCCATGTCAAAGGTAGGACCTGGTGGGAGGTGACTGTATTATAAGGGCAGATTTCTCCCATGCTGTTCTCTGTGACAGTGTGTGAGTTCTCACAAGATCTGATGGTTTAAAAGTGTGGCACTTCCTCCTTCACTCTCTCTTGCTGCTATGAGAAGAAATGCCTTGCCTTGCCTCTCCTTTGCCTTCTGCCATGATTTTAAGTTTCCTGAGACCCGCAAGTCATGCTTTCTGTTAAGCCTGCAGAACTGTGAGCCAATGAAGCCTCTTTTCTTCATAAATTACCCAGTCTCAGGTAGTTATTTTTAGCAGTGTGAGAATGGACTCATACAGAAGGTAAAATAAAATCATGCATTATTTTTAATCTTCATTGAACTAGTAAGTGGTTCTGTGCTCAAAAAAATAACAGCAATAATGTATTTGGTGATTGTAGCTTATAGATAAGTGAAGTGAGTGACAGCATTATTATGAGGGCTAAGAGGAAATAACTGGGACTATTCTATTTTAAAGTACCTGTGTTATCTATGAAGTGGTATAATGTTATTTGAAAGTAAACTTACAGCATTTTTAATTGTATGCTGCAAACTCTAGGGTAACTACTAATATGTATTTTAAGATATGTATAATAAGTCTTCACTTAATATCATCAGTAAGTTCTTAGAAATAGTGACTTTAAGTAAAATCGAATACAACAGTTTCTGGAATAGTATCATCTTGTTCAGTTTTTTTTCTTATAACATTGATGAGAAAAAATTTGCTTCAATTAAAATCACTGTTTCCAAGAGCCTATCAGTGACATTAAGTGAGGACTTAATATGCTAAGAGGGAGAAACTATGAAATTGTATAAAATACTGAATTAAAACCAGAGAAGACAGAAAAAGAAGGCATGTTTAAAAAAAGAAAAAAAGGAACAAGTATTATGACTACAAAAGTTAAGAATACTTAGATATTAATACAGCTATACCAGTAATCACTTTACATGTGAATGATCAAGATATGCTAATTAAAAGAGATTTTCAGAGAATTTTTTTAAACCCAACTGTTTATTGTTTTAGAAACCTACTTTATCAAGATACAGGTTAAAAGTAAAGCAATGGTAAAGGTTATATCATGCTAACACAAATCAAAAGAAAGCTAGCATAGGTGTATTAATTTCAGACACAGCCGACTTAAGAACAAGGAAAATTATCAGGAATGAAAGAGGGCATTACATAATTATTAAGAAATCAATTCTCCACAAAGATATAACAATGATTAATGTATAGGTGTCTAAGAATGAAGCATCAAAACATTTGAAGCAAAAGTGATTGAAAGGCAAGAAGAGACAGGCAAATGCATGATCACAGCTGAAGGCTTTAACACCCTCATGTTAGTAATTAATAGATCCATTAAACAGAAATTATCAAAAGTGTAGTTGAACTGAACAACATCATCAATCAATTGTATGTAATTGACATTTATAGGATACCCCTTCCCAAAACAGCAGAATTCACATTCTTCTTAAGCTCACATGGAACATTGCCCAAAATAGAATACATTCTGGGTCATAAAATAAACTTTAACTAGTTTAAAGGAATAGAGCTTACATAGGGATTCGGGCCAAGGTGGCTGAACTAGAAGCAGCTATGGTGTGTGGCTCTCACAGAGAGGAATGAAAGGGGCAAGTAAATACATCACCTTCAACTGAAACATCCAGGTAGTCACACTGGGACTAATCAAGGAAACAACTCGACCCATGAAGAACAAAGAAAAGCAAGACAGGATAAAAGCTCACCCAGGAGCAACACAGAGCCAGGTGAACATCCCCCGCCCAGGGAAGCAGTAAGTGAATGTGCAACTCAGAGAAACCAAGCCTCTCCCACAGATGTTTTCAACCCTCTGGTAAGGAGATTCCATCATGAACCCACTCCATCAGGGCCTTCAGTCTGACACACACAGCTGCCTGGAGTCTTGGCAGAGTAGCCACTCAGGCACACGCAGAGACTCAGGAGCTTAACATACTCCAGCACCTGGCTTCCAGGCAAAACTGACTGCAACTCTGGCAAGGTGGAAGGTTGGAACTTTGTACATACCCCCAGGAAGGGGGCTGAATCCAATGGGCTGGTCAGCGACAGTCTGGATCCCCACTTCCACAGTGCCTCATAGGATTAGACCCACTGGTGTGAAATTCCAGCCAAACACCAGCAACAGTGTCACTCCTACCTGGGACAGAGTTCCTATGGGGAGGGACAGGCCACCATCTTTGTTATGTGGATGACATTCCAACCTGTGGGCTTTGGAGAGTCCAAACTGAAATGGGGCAGAAGGGATCCCCTATCACAGTTCTACAAAAATGTGGTCAGACTGCTTCCTTAAGCAGGTCCCTGATCCTTTCTCCTCACTGGGTGGGACCTCCCAACTGGAACCTCTAGAGTTTTGAAAATTTCCTGGAATAGAGCTCCCAGAGGGAGGGGAATAGGCTCAAAATAAAGGGATGGGGGGAAAAAAGGAATCCCCAAATAGACCAAAAACAAGTTTTGAAATTGAGGCAGTAATACATAGCCTACCAACCAAACAAAGTCCAAGACCAGACAGATTCACACCTGAATTCTACCAGATGTACAAAGAACTGGTACTATTCCTGCTGAACTATTCCAAAAAATTGAAAAGGAGGCACTCCTCCCTAACTCATTCGATGAGGCCAGCATCATCCTGATACCAAAACCTGGCAGAGACGCAACAAAAAAAGAAAACTCCAGGCCAATATCCTTGATGAACATCAATGCAAAAGTCCTCAACAAATTACTGGCAAACTGAATCCAGCAGCACATCAAAAAGCTTAGTCATCATGATCAAGTAAGCATCATCCCCAGGATACAAGGTTGGTTCAACATCTGCAAATCAATCAATGTGATTCATCACATAAACAGAACTAGAGGCAAAAACCACATGACTATTTCAATAGTTGCAGAAAATTCTTTCGATAAAATTCAACATCCATTCATGTTAAAAACTCTCAATAAACTAGATATTGAAGGAACATACCTCAGAATAATAAAAGCCATTTATGACAAACCCACAGCCAACATCATACTGAAGAGGCAAAAGCTGGAAACATTCCCTTTGAAAATCAGCACAAGGCAAGAAGGCCCTCTCTCACCACTCCTATTTAACATAGGACTGGAAGTCCTGGCCAAGACATTCAGGCAATAGAGAAATAAAGGGCATTTAAATTGGGAGAGAGAAATCAAACTGTTGCTGTTTGCAGACAACATGATCCTATATCTAAAAGCCCCACTGTCTCACCCCCAAAGCTTCTTAAGCTGATAGACAACTTCAGCAAACACTCAGGATACAAAATTAATGTGCAAAAATTCTATCATTCCTACACACAAACAGCAGTCAAGCTAGAGGCAAATCATGAACAACCTCCAATTCACAATTGCCACAAAAATAATAAAATACCTGGGAATACAGCTAACTAATAAGGTAAAATATCTATAAGGAGAATTACAAACCACTGCTCACAGAAATCAGAGATGACACAAACAGATGGAAAAACATTGTGTGACCATGGATAGGAAGAATCAATATCATTCAAGTGGCCATACTGCTCAAAGCAATTTATAAATTCAATGTTATTCTCATTAAACTACCATCGACATTCTTCACAGAGCTAGAAAAACACTATTTTAAAATTCATGTGGAACCAAAAATGAGTCCAAATAGTCAAGGCAACCCTAAGCAAAAAGAACAAAGCTGGAGGCAGCATGCTACCTAACTTCAAGCTACAGGGTTACATTAACCAAAACAGCCTAGTATTGGTACAAGAGCAGACACGTAAACCAGTGGAACAAAATAGAGAACCCGCACACCTACAACCATCTGATCTTTGATAAACCTGACAAAAACAAGCAATGGGGAAAGCATTATTCTCTAATAACGGCACTGGAATAACTGGCTCTTCTATAAATGGTGCTGGAATAACTGGCTAGATATATGCAGAACATTGAAACTGCCCCTCTTCCTTACACCTTATACAAAAATTAACTCCAGATCAATTAAAGACTTAAAAGTAAAACCCTAAACTACCAAAACCCTGGAAGACAACCTAGGCAATACAATTCAGGACATGGGCACAAGAAAAGGTTTCATGACAAACACACCAAAAACAATTGCAACAAAAGTAAAAATTGATAAATGAGATCTGATTAAACAAGAGCTTCCACATAGCAAAAGAAACTATTAACAAAGTAAACAGACAGCCTACAGAATGGGAGAAAATTTTTGCAAACTATGCATCTGACAAAAATCTAGTATCCAGCATCTATGAGGAAATTAAACTAAAGTACAAGAAGAAAGCAAAAAAAAATTTACAGTAGGCAAAAGACATGAACAGACACTTCTTAAAAGACGACATACATGTGGCCAACAGGCATATGAAAAAAAGAACTCAACATCACTGATTTTTAGAGAAATGCAAATAAAAACCACAATTACATATCATCGCACACCAGTCAGACTGACTGTTATTAAAAACTCAAAAAATAACAGATGCTGGTAAGGTTGTGGAGAAAAAAAATGCTAATACACTGTTGGTGGGGGTGCAAATTAGTTCAGCCATTGTAGAAGACAGTGTGGTAATTCCTCAAAGACATAAAGACAGAAATACCATTCGAGCCAGCAATCCCATTACTGGCTATTTCCCCAAAGAAATATAAATTGTTCTATTATTAAGATGCATGCACATGTATGTACATTGCAGCACTATTCACAATAGCAAAGACATGGAATTAACCTACATGTTCATTAATGATAGACTGAATAGAGAAAAATGTGGTTCATTTATACTGTGGAATTCTATGCAGTCATAAAAAGGAATAAGATCATGTCCTTTGAAGGAACATGGGTAGAGCTAGAGGCCATTATCTTTAGCAAACTAATGCAGGAACAGAAAACCAAATACTGGAAGTTCTCACTTATAAGTGGTAGCTAAATGATGAGAACACATGGACACATTGGGGAACAACATCCATTGGGGCATATCGGAGGGTGGAGAGTAGAAGGAGCGAGAAGATTAGGAAGAATAACTAATGGGTACTAAGCTTAACGCCTGGGTGATAAAATAATCTGCACAATAAACCTCCATGACATATGTTTACCTGTTTAACAAACCTGAACATATACCCATGAACTTAAGTTTTTAAAAAATGAACTTACATAATATATGCCCTCAGACTACAGTGCAATTAAACTGGAACTCAGTAACAGAAAGATAGCTGGGAAATACTAAATATTTGGAGATGAAAGGACAGTTTTCTAAATGACACATTGGACAAACAAATCTCGAGAGAAATTGTAAATATTTTGAACTGAATTAAAATGAATATACAATTGATCAAATTTCTGGGATGCAGAAAAACCAGTAATTAAAGGCAAATGTATATAATATTGCATGCATGTATAAAAAACACTTAAAATCAATAATGTTAAGAAAAAGGAAAGAGCAAGTTCAATGCAAATAAAATAGAAGAAAATATGAATATTAAAGCAAAATTAGTGAAATTGAAAAAAAGAATTATAAAGAAATTCAACAAAACCAAAGCTGATTCTTTGAAAATATCAATAAATGTAGTGGACCTCTGGCCATGCAAACCAATAAAAAAGGAGAAGCAGCACATTTTTTAATACTAGAAGCAAAAAGGAGACTTCACTATTGATCTCATGCATATTAAAAAGATAATGAAGGAATGCTAAAGAGGAAAAATCATAGGAAAATATCAACATACACAGAGAAAAGTATTTGATAAAATCCAATACCCATTTATGATCAGAGCTTTCAGCAAACTGAGAAATAAATGGAAATTCCTTAACTCAAAAAAAAATCTCTAAAGACAAAAAGACAGAAAAATACAGCTAACCTCAAATTAAAGGTGAGAAACTAGAAGGTTTTTTCTTATGATTTAGAACAAAGAAAGATCCGTACTCACTACTCTTATTCAACATGATACCAGAAGTCCTAGCTGAGGCAATAAGACCAGAAAATAAAATAAAAGGTATATAGAAGGGAGGAAATAAAAGTATTGTCCTTCTCAGATGTGTCTGTAATTCCAGAAAATCAACAAAAATATTCCCTTATTCTCTGAATCTCTTATTATTTCTCCTGGAACTAATAAGGAATTATAACAAACTTGCAAAATATAAGGTTAATATACAAATCAAAATTCCTTTTTTATAATCTAGCAATGAACAATTGGAATTTGAAGTTAAAATGCAATGTCATTTACAAATGAAATATTTAAGTGTAGATCTAACAGTATCTTTATGAGGACAACTGCAAAACTCTGATAAAATAAATTGGAGATGATCTAAATAAACGAGATATTCTATGTTCCTGGACAGAAAGACTCCATAGTTTTAAGATGTCATTTTTTTCCCGAATTGGTGAATAGATTCAACTCAATATGATTTGAAATTTCAGGAGATTGTTTTGTGGATAACAACAGACTGATTATGACTTATAAATGAAACAGCAAAAGACACACAATACACACACAAAACTAAATAAGAACAAAGTCAGATGACTGGTATTATCCCACATCAAGACTTACTATAAATATCACAATGGTGTGATGTTGACAAAAGGATAGACAAGCTGATTACTAGCACAGAAAAAAGAGCCTAGAAAGAAGCCCACACAAATGTAGTCCACTGATCTTTGACAAAGGAGCAAAGGTAACTCCATGGAGAAAGGGTAGCCTTCTCAATAAAAGGTGTTTGAACAGTTTGACATGTATATGCAAAACAAAAGAATCCAGATATAGATCTTATATTTTTCACAAAAAATACTTCAAAATGTATCATCAACCTATATGTAAAATATAAAATTATGACGCTTCTAAAAGATATCATAGAAAAAAAATCTTAAAAACCTGAGATTTGTTGAGAAGTTGTTAGTAATTAATACCAAAAATGAGATCCATTAAAGAAACAATTGATGAGTTGAACTTTATTAAGATTAAAGACTTCTTTTCTGAGAAATACACTATTGGAAGAAGGAAAATAATGCCCATAATGTGGAAGAACAATATTTTCAATACATATATCTGATACAAGTATGATGTCTAAAATATACAAATAACTTGTTAATCTCAATTTTCAATAAGAAAACAAACAGTCCAACCAAAAAATGAGCAAAGGATCTGAACAAACAGTTCATCAAAAAAGGTATGCAGGTTACATGCATATGAAATGATGCTTAATATCATATGCTATTATGAAATTGCAATTTAAAAAAATAATGTGATACGAGTATACACACTCTAGAACTGGTAAAATCTAAAACTCTGCTAATTCCACATGCCAAGGAGGATGTGGAGCAACAGAAATTCTCATTCATTGTTGGTAGTAATGCAAAATGTTGTAATCACTTTGGAAGACAATTTGACAGTGTTTTACAAAGCTAAATATACACTTCTCCTGTTATCCAGCAATCACATTTTTAGGCACTTGCCCAAAAAGTTAAAAATTTATTTTATAAAATTGCCTGCACACAAATGTTTATAGCAGCTTTATTCATAAGTGCTCCAAACTTGAAGCAACCAAATGTCCAATAGGTTGTTTCAACAGGAGAATAGTTAAACAAAGTGTTAGAGTTTTGTTTCGATCTACAATCAAATTATTCAGTGATTTAAAAAAATGAGCTCTCAAGGCATGAAATACACAATACAAAATGCATATTACTAAGAGAAAGAAGATCACCTGAAATGACTATATCCTGTATGATTCCAACTATATGACATTCTGGATAAAGCAAAACTATGGAGACAGTAATCTGTGTAGATCTATAGTTTTCCAGGGTTTGGGACAGGGGAATGATAAATGTGTAAAGCATAGAGGATATTTATAGTGGTGAAACCATACTGTGTGATACCATAGTGGCATACAGATGACACTATGCATTTCTCGAAACACACAGTGCGGAACTGTATAACACAAAGAGTTAACTTTTATGTAAACAATGGAATTCCATTAATAATAATTTATCAATAGTGATTCATTAATAGTAACAGATGCAACACGCTAATATAAGATATTAATAACAGGGAAAACCCTGTGGGAGAGTGGGATATGTGGGTACACTCTACAGTATTTGCTTAATTTCTTTATAAATCTAAATTTTTTTCTAGAAAATTTTTAAATTACAGAATAGCATTAAGCATTAACAAGATTTTCGTTTTTTCTCTATTTAGTTGATAATTTATTTTCCTAGAAGCTAGAAATAATCTGGAAATTATACTCATTATTGTTTAATATTTTACCATTCAGACTAAAACTGAGCAAAAGTTTGACAATTATGTCTACGTATAGTTTATTCTCTCTTGTGCACTCGTGGACGTGTGTGTGCATGCGCGCACACACACACACACACACACACACACACCCCATTGAGAATCTAAGGAGCTATAAGATTCCTTTGGAAGAGTTTTTATTTGCCAGCTCAGAACTCCTGCAAGTGCTCAAATGGTCGTGAAATTTATACTCTATTAGGCCACTTAGTATGTATTTTTCCCCTTTTATTTTAAATTCTTTAGAAAATTTTTACTTTTTATACTGAAAGAATATAAATAAGTTATTACTGTTGCCTGGGAATATTAGAAAAAAATAACAAAATATACAGCTGTAGAACTAGGATGGCAGTTCATTAATATAGGCCTATTAAATAGTAGAAATATTTACTGGTTGTATTCTAAAAGCTATTAAACATTTTTCAGTTTCTAATAAAGGGGTAATATTAAAATATTCATAAAAATACTTTGATTCTGAGATATGTGTATATACAGATCTCTAATAATATCATTTGTAACAGTTTAGTAGTGATAACTAGCTTTTTCTAATTTAATTTTTATTACATTTATGGGATCCTTATTCAATATAATCAGATGCCTAACACAGTGAGTTGTTCTCTTTATACTGCAGCGATGATGGCCCTGAACTGTTATGACACTCAGTCTGATGTACTGAGTTCAGCCTCACATTGATTTTAGAATTCCCACTGGGCTTTTCAAATTTAGGTTCTTCCAATCTCCGGATACATAGATTTAGTTGGATGCCACCTGTGAATGTTATCCATCTGTTTTTTTTATGGTTCTGAGATGTATTGCCATCTGTGATAGAAGGATGATACTTGGTGGTTATATTACACTTGATACTAGCAAAAGTGACCCTAGGGTCATCTGATTGAATGCTCAGCTACAAAATAGAAGCCTTTAGGCTTAGGTGGTTTGGTGAGTATGTACTTCAATAGCAATAGTAGTTTCTTTGTGACATGCAAAAATCTCTGTAGGAGAGGCAGAACTGTAAAATCGATTGGGGAGGTCTTCTTATATATCACCACACTTATAAAAAAATTATATAAGTTTCAATCTCTGTATTCACTTGAACAGATTTGTCCACACTCTGGGAAGAGTAACAACTGACAGGACTCCGTAGGTAACTCAGTAAAGGAACAATTTTTTATGACAACCAAGCAAAATTTCTGATAGCCAAAAAAAACACAAAAGAGAAGCTCCAAAAATTAAATATTTTCTAAGATTATACTTAATTATTTTATCATGTAAACAAGAAAAGCTAATGTGACTGAAACATTTCAAAAAATTCCCATCTCAACTTGGTAAATCTGATTGCATGTAAGTAAATAAACATTCAAGAAAAATCAAGTCATTAATTTTACTGTGAAAATAATATTATTAAAAATGCTGTATGCTCTAGTACATAAACTTTAAGCATTATTTGGGCTTACTATTTAGAATTTTCTCTCAGCATATTAATAGAAAGACATTTTTGCTCAGTTTTCAGGGAATTCACAATCTACCATTTACTCTTGGTATAAAATATAGTTTTTTGCATATTGAAAACAAATCTGAATATATCTGCTTCTTTAGAGCCCATGATAAAATCATAAGCATGTAAGATCATAAGAGGATATATGGCAGGAATTCACTGCCTGGATCTCCTTTCAAGAAATAACATGTCTTTCAACTTTAAGAGGTGTGTATTTCACAGACAGATTTCAGCTACACTGCCCTTTGGATCTGTCTCTTATTTTGAGTTGAGGTCATGTGCTTCCCAGTCATTTGCTCCCAGCAAATTACTGTGCACAGTGGGCTAAATAGGTTCTGGCTATTGTTTTTACTCCAGAACTGCCTGTTGGGTTGCTGGGACATTGTCAGAAGTACATTGCAGGCCGAAGCTCCCTGGTCTCAATTCTGCTTCCTCTTCCAATTTTTCTTTTTTTTTTTTTTTTGAGATGGAGTCTCGCTCTGTTGCCCAGGCTGGAGGGCAGTGGCGTGATTTTGGCTCACCGCAGCCTCCGCCTTCCAGGTCCAAATAATACTCCCACCTCAGCCTCCCAAGCAGCTGGGATTACAGGCACCCGCCACCATAGCTGACTAACTTTTTCTGTATTCTTAGTAGAGACGGGGTTTCACCGTGTTGGCCAGGGTGGTCTCAAACTCCTGACCTCAAGTTATCTGCCTGCCTCAGCCTCCCAAAGTGCTGGGATTACAAGTGTGAGCCACCGCACCTGGCCCTTCCATTTTCTTCCACTTATGTCACACTCGCTTCACAATCAGGATTTTTTTCCCACCTTGGCCTGCTTCTTCTGCCCTTTTCATTTCACAGCATTCTCTCCCCAATAAAATTCTCACACTCAAACTCCATATGAACATCTGCCTCCAGTAAGTCCTGAATTGGCATAGTTGGAAAGTTTGTAAAAGCAGGTGGTAGGTGGAAATTTGGGGACTAAATCATCTCTGTCTCATTGGCAATAGGACTCCTCCCAGGCAGTAGGTGGGACATTCATTTCTGCACAATGTGAAAGCTCTACTCTTAAAATATTCACTGGGCAATTTGGAATATTGTCCCAGTGGAGGGAATGTTCTGCATTTTGCAATAAATAAGGCTTTGAAAACTGGGACAGTGCATTCAAGGACAACAGAACTGGCTGGTTGTTACTGAGTTGCATTGATGTCCTCAGAGGTATAATAAAAAAACTGAAAGCAGTTAATGAACAATGAAAATTAAGTGTGAAGGGCAAAGGAACATTGTGATTGACAACAAGAGATGGGAGAACACAGAAACTGAAGGCGAAACTCAGGATTTAATAGACTTGTCAAGCTCCAAGAAGAATATCTGCTGAGATCTGTCATACCACTGTGATGAAAATATCTGGGTAAATAACTCCAAAAACTGAACTCTCCTAGACTGCCCTCTATGCTTAGAACTTGCAGAAGTGGCCAGTGCCTCCCTATTAAGAGTAAAGAATCTCCAGTGTGAGAAAATGCTAAGGAAGTCTCCTTCCTGTAAGGCAAGGAGATCCTTCTTCAGGATCTCTGTCCTCCTTTTCTTTCCTGGATTCCTGGGTCATAACTCTGGTTAAATGGCAAATATCACAGGTGAAGATAATGAAAGAAAGAACTATACCCCAAAGGAGGTCCAAGAATTTAGTCACTGTGTACTGGCAGTAGCCAGGGGAGTATGCATGGGACTGGATTCTGAGGTTGCTTGGTTAAGGGAAATAGAACGTAATATTTGACACTGAAAAGTTTTTGAATTGGGAGTAACTCTTTCAGGCTGTGATTTAATACACTAACAAAAACCCCAGTTTTTAAGGGTAGATTAATAGAGCCTTAAGTACATGATATGTGGCCATGGATTTGTAAGGTCTGAAGTCAATAAGCTCACTGGGGTAGTAGTTCTTAGGAGCGATGGCCCATACTGTGTGAAGTGGAAATGCCTGAACCACTGTGGCAGACGATGGAGGAAAAGATAAAAATACAGTTGGTATACTAGAATGGATATATGGTGCAAAACCTGAAAATCCTCTAGAGTACTGTGTTTCAAGGGAAATCCCAGAAGACACACTCTTCATTAAGCGCATCAAAAATGCACTGGTGAGTGGGATACCAGAATTGCAAAGTTCTGTGGTAACGTTTGTCTGCAGGTCAGGAGTGATAGTCGAAGACATGGTCACAAAGCTGGGCTTGTTAATATCTTTGGTAATGATAGGAGCTGGAATGGTAGAGGCCAGCTGTTAATACTGTCAGAGGTGTTGGAACCAGAGCAACTCCATCTTGAATAAGAGCTGGGTAAAATAAGGCTGAGACCTACTGGGCTGCATTCCCAAGAAGTCAGGCATTCTAAGTCACAGGATGAGATAGCAGCTGGCCAGAGCAAGGTACGGGTCACAAAGATCTTGCTGATAAAACAGCATGCGATAAAAAAGCTGACCAACACTCACCAAAACCAAGATGGTGACAAAAGTGATGTCTGGTTGTCCTCACTGCTCATTAGATGCTAATTATAATACATTAACATGCTACAAGACACTCCCACAGCTCCATGACAGTCTACAGATGCCATGGAAATTTCTGGAAGGTTACCCCATATGATCTAAAAACAGGAGGAACCCTCAGTTTCAGCAATGGCCCACTCCTTTTTTGGAAAACTCATGAATAATCCACCCCTTATGTTTAGCATATGATCAAGAAATAACCATAAAAACAGCCAACCAGCAGCCCTCGGGGCTGCTCTGCCTGTGGAATAGCCATTCTTTATTCTTTTACTTTCTTAATAAACTTGCTTTCACTTTCTGGATTCATCTCAAATTCTTTCTTGCTCGAGATCTGAGAACCCTCAACTGGGGTCTGCATCTTGACCCCTTTCCAGTAACAGTACCTAACCACCACCAACAGCCTGCCAGGGGGTTGGAATTATGACACACAGTTTGGCTTGACCCACACAAATTTGTAGAGAATGCAGTACTAAAAGCAAAATAGTCAGGCAATGATGGTGACAATGGTGTAAGCGTGTGTGTGTGTGTGTGTAAACTTAGGACATATCAGAATCACTTGGACGGTTTGTTAAAATAAAGAAATAGAAACTGCTAGGCTCCACCCTAGAATTTCTAATGTAGTAGGTCTTGAGTGGAGGCATACACATTGCAGACACACAACATAGACAAAAACAGGTTTACTTGGCATGGTTTCAATAAGCTGAAATCCCAGTTAGTAGAGTTGAGTTAAAGAATCCTGTTCTCTCTACATCAACATTTAAAACACAGAGTAGCAAGCATCTAAATCATCAGATAAATAGGAGAGCAAAGGTGCGGCACTAAACTGAACATATCAGGGTCAAGTGAAATTTACATAACGGTGGGCACGTTTTTTGTATAAATATATTTAATAATACAATAAGATATAGTGTAATACATTTCCACAAATTAAGGATCACAATCAAAATAATAGTAATAATAATGTATAATATTTTGTAATGTAGTTCTACTAATAAGAAGAATAACATTATTCTGGAGGGAAGGAGTTATGGATTCAATTGCATCCCTCCAAAACTCATGTGGTGAAGTACTAATTCTCAGTATCTCCCAACGTTACCTTATTTGAAGATAGGGGATTTACAGAAGAAACTAAGTTAAAATGGGGTCATTAGAAAGGGCCTTAATCCAGTATTGTTGGTGTGTTTATGAAAAGGGAAAACTGAAGACAAACATGCATCAGGGAGAAAGACTTATGGTCATAAGTCATGAAGGGAGGGTCCTCATGCACAAGTGCCTGATAAAGAGAACTATCACAGAAGTCTCTACAAACATCACAGCCTTGCACAAAGATCATCACAACTTCATACGAAAAAATACTTCTGAGAGAACATCTGCCCAGCAGTTGCCTATCCAGCCTCAGACTGGTGCCTCTCTTATTGTTGATCCTCATAGCAAAGAATAATTATCTCAAAACATTTAAGTAATTCTCCTCATTTTTCCTTTAAAAACCTTTATCTTCATTTACCTCCCTAAATATGCATATAGTTTACTATGGCATGTGTGTTTGCATTACAATGCCTATTCCTGAATAAACATCGTTTTTTTAGAGAGTCTTCCTCTCTGTCTGTTATTTAGGTTGACACATAAAACAGTTTCTTTCTCACAGTTCACAGAAGGAATTAATTCTACAACCCCTTGTTCTCTAACTTCTGTCCTTCAGATCTCTGAGATAATAAATCTCTGTTGTTTAAACCACCCAATTAGAGTTACTTTGTTACAGCAGTCCTGGCAAACTAATACAGGGTGTAACATTTCAGTTAATGAAAATTCAAAGTTAGTGTACCTTCTCATCAGAATAGATTGCAAATATTCATCTGTTAATGATGATCTGTGGTGAGCTTTTTTTTTTATTTCATCTTTGAAAATATCTTTTAACAAAGATAGGTAATGACAAATACATAAATCCATGAACGTAAGATTTTAATTAAGCTTATTTAAATCTTGGAATGAACTTGTCAAATTCAGATTCTTCTATTGATATTTGCCTTTTAGCATGTTATTATATTGCAGATTAATCACTTCCAATTTCAGGTAAGGAGGATGTTCTTCAATTGAATAGTTAAATGTATTTTGAAATATGGAAATTTCCTTTGCACTTGCATCAGGGTCTGAAAAAAGCTATTGGAACTGTAGTTTAAGTTCAGAGAATTTATCTGCTGCAAATTTTTGAGGGAATGATGATCTTACCTTTTGTTTTAACTTTTGACAGCATGGTAGTTTGACATTACTGGTGATTTAAATAACGTATGTTTTCATCTAAATGACGTTATCGTAGTATACATTTTGCCTGTCAGAACTTTTTTTGGCTTTACAGTTTTAGTTTGAATTCATTTAAAGAACATTATCAAAATCTGCAGCAAAAACTAATTTCCAAAGCCATTCAGTGTTGATAATAGTGTTTGAGAGCTGTTTTTCTCTTTTGTAAAGATTTCAATTTCATTCCTGAGCCCAGAAAGCTGCAAAAAATTTACCACTTCTACTCCATCAAACTTCTCTGCAGTAGGGAAAATCCAGATATTCAGCTTCTATTTCTGACCGAGAGAAAGTAAGCAACTGATGTTGCTTTGAGTCCACAAGATCAAATGAAGTTCCCCAACTGATCCAGCTGGTTCAATTACACATTTTAGATTCAAATAATTTCTGCAGTAACTTACTGATGATAAATAACACAGTGAACACCATAGGCATTAAATTTTTTAAATTCGCACAAGCTTTTAAAATTTGACCAATTAAGTTTTTATATAATTTTGTCTCCATCAGTTATAATTCATCCCAGAAAATTCCATTTGTTTGTACTAAATTGTACTCAACTTTTTTTTTTTTTTTTTTTTGACAGTCTTGCTCTGTTGCCCAGGCTAGAGTGCAGTGGCGTGATCTCGGCTCACTGCAACCTCCGCCTCCCGGGTTCAAGCCATTCTCTGTCTCAGCCTCCCAAGTAGCTGGGATTACAAGCACCCACCACCACACCCAGCTAATTTTTGTATTTTTAGTAGAGACAGGGTTTCACCATCTTGGCCAGGCTGGTCTTGAACTCCTGACCTCATGATCCACCCGCCTCGGCCTCCCAAAATGCTGGGATTACAGGCGTGAGCCACTGCGCCTGGCACTTGTACTCAACTTCTATGAAAATATTTTCACCTGTAGTTGTTCCATGCAGGCTATTCATAAAAGTTAACTCTTCAATCACTTCAAACTCAGAACTTCTCAAACAAATAAAAAACTGAGTAATAAAATCCTTCTTCTCTTTCTTAATTGACTAATGATGTTGCTCCTAATGTACACAGCTGAAAAAGCCACTGTTATAACTGTAGGTTAATAGTCTTAAACAAATGGATTTTCTGTGAATACATGTCTTTAGCTTCTGCAATCAAATATTATGTAAGTCACCCTGAGTAAGTAGCTTTCACGACTGAACTAACAAGGGAGCCACTTGGGAACTTAATGTAGTTTCAGACTCATTTTGACTTTTAAAAAATTGTAAAGAAATTTTGCTGTGATGAAATATTCTGTCTCAAATTGTCTTATTTTTCTGACAATTTGTTTTGTGAGTGGGAAATATTGTGATAAGTTCTTAGTCTTCTTTGTGTCACTGCATGATAACTGAAATGTTTTGCCATGTAATTAGGTAACAAAATAATCCATATGCCACTGTGCCTAAAAGCATGTCATTTGAAGTCCATTTTTCCTTATGCCAACATGATGAATATGCACTGATGATTAGCATGTGAAAAAATAGTGCTACTATAATATGTAACATATTGGAAATGCTTTCCAGTTGTAACTCCATCACTGTAACTTGTAGTAAGCCCAGCAGCAGTGTGAAGCAATGAGAACAACAAATATGATCTCAGACACAGCTACTCAACCAGTAGTACACATTGCAGAGCAAAAGTAGCCATAGACAATATGTAAAGGAATGAACCTGGCTCGTTTCTCATAAATTTTTGGTTTCTAATGAATTTTTGTTTAGATATTAAACTTTGAATTTTATATAGTGTGTGTGACAAAACACCTTATTTTGATTTTTTTCAACATTGAAAATCTTTCTTAGCTTGTGGTCAGTACAAAAATACATGGTGGTTAGAATGTGTTCCGTGACCCTTGGTTTTCTGACCTCTGCACAATTTAAAAAACAAACAAACAAACAAAAACTTTGAGTACCCTTAAGACACTGAGCAAAACAGCTAAGGTTGTAACTTGCGTACAAAACTTTAAAATTATAAAATATTTATCTCTGGAACAGTTCTTTTTGTATCTATCGATGCATTTGGAGGGCTGTTCTGTAATCAGATGTCTCTGTTCCCTTTTAGATCTCTTTGTACACACGCAATACGTAGACATAAATACAGTGCTTCCAGTTACCATTTTATAAAAAAGCAAATGAAAGACATCAAATGTGCAACTCTCTATCACAAAAACCCAAGTAATTAAAATATCGTAAAATAATTAGATAACAAGCATTTAGAGAAAAAAAACACACTTAAGAAAATGTTGCAGAAAGTAGAAGAAAATAATAGAAAAAAGCTATGTAAAGAAAGAAATCATTTCAGGAGACACAATTTTCAACCAAAAAAAGAGTTCAGGAAGTAAAGAGGAGAAAATGGAGCAAAATGTATCAAAGAAATTTTAGTTAAAATTTATTAGAACAGAACAGAAGTTCTAAGGTTTACAATCTGAGTAGACCAACTGTGTTTCTAGTATGATAATAAGAAATATGACATCAGCCGGGCACGGTGGCTCAAGCCTGTAATCCCAGCACTTTGGGAGGCCGAGGCGGGCAGATCACTTGAGGTCAGGAGTTTGAGACCAGCCTGACCTGCATGGAGAAACCCCCGTCTCTACTAAAAATACAAAATTAGCCGGACATGGTGCCACATGCCTGTAATCCCAGCTATTCGGGAGACTGAGGCAGAAAAATCGCTTGAACCTGGGTGGCGAAGGTTGCCATGAGCTGAGATCGGGCCATTGCACTCCAGCCTGGGCAACAAGAGCGAAACTCCATCTCAAAAAAAGAGAAATGCCCAGAAATATGACATCATCTTTAGCAAACTAACACAGGAATAGAAAACCAAATACCACATGTTCTCACTTATAAGTGGGAAGTAAATGATGAGAACGCGTGGACACATCGAGGGGAACAACACACACTGGGGCCTGTAGGAGAGTGGAGGTGGAAGGAGGAAGAGGATCAGGAAAAATAGCTAATGGGTACTAGGCTTAATACCTGGGGGATAAAATGAACTGTACAACAAACCCCCATGACACAAGTTTACTTATGTAACAGACCCGTACATGTACCCCAAACTTAAAAGTTAAAAATAACAGAAAAAAAGAGAGGAAAAAATGTAGTATGTACATCATGATACTTACAAACACTAAATATAGAGAGGAGATCTAAGGCTTGAAATGAGAAAAACAGGAAAATTATAACAAAAACAAGAATAGAAACAAACAATATATCTATACACAAATAATTGTGATTTATAATGGCATGCACATTGGCAAGAGCAAAAATGAAAAAATAACAATTAAATATTCTATATTTCTGAGAAAAAATATTTCCAATGAGGAAACCTGTAATAAAATAACTTTACAATATGCAAGGTTTGTAAAAGATATATCTTCTATGATCTCTTTAACAGGAAACCATGGGATGGGATGGTATTTAAAATGAGTAAATAAGCCAACAAAATTAAAGATATATATGAGATCCAGTAAATGAAGGATTCAATATAGGGAAAAGGTGAAGAGAATTTTTCTGAAGATGTGAATGGAAATGTCGAAATGACGACTGTGCAGTAGGTCTAGTGAGTAAAGGCTCAGTTAGAAAAATGACAGAAGAATCTTTGAATCATGTCTGCAAGAAGTCAGGCATATAAAGACAAATTTCACATGTTTTCAATTACTGGTGGGTGCCAAAAATTTAAACAATTGAACTCCTGAAGATAGACAGTAGAATGATGGTTACCAAAGGCTGGCAAAGGTATTGGGGGAGGAGGAAATGGGGATAGTTGATGGTTACAATAATATAGTTAGGTATAATCAGTCAGGTGTAGTATTTGATAGCACAATAGGGTGACTACAGTCAACAATAATTTGTTTTACCTTTTAGAATAAATGAGGGTGTACAATTGGAATGTTTGTAACAAAGAAATGATGAATGCCTGATGTGACAACTACCCCCATTTACACTGATGTGATTATTACATATTGTATGCTTGAGAAAAATGTTTAAAAGCTGCCTACCCCTCTAGATGTCACCAGAGCAGAGCAAACCTTTGCTGACAGCTAGCAAGAAAGGTGGGTTCTCAGCTTTACAACCAACAGAAAGTAAATTCTTCCAACTTGAATAAGTTTGGAAGCAGATCCTGAGCTTCACATAAGAATGCAGACCAACCGATTCCTTGCTTATAGGCTTCTGAGACCTTGAACAGAGACTCCAAATGTGTCAGACCTGAAATTCTGACAGAAATTGCTAGATACTCAAAGGATGGGTTTTTTTTGTATGTTTTTAAGGGATGGCGGTTTTTGTCACCCAGGCTATAAGGCAGTGGTGTCATCATGGTTCACTGCAGCCTCAACTCCTGGGCTCACACGATCCTTCTGCCTCAGCCTTGCAAGTAGCTGGGATCACAAGCATGCATCACTATGCCTGGCTATTTTTTAATTTTTATTTTTTTGTAGAGACAGGGGTGGCCTTGCTATGTTGACCATTGAACTCCTGGCCTGAAGCAATCCTCCTGCCTTGGCCTCCCAAAATGCTAGGATTACAGGTGTGAGCCACCACACCCACCACAAAGGATGGTCTTTTAAGGCTTTTAGTTTGTGGTAATTTGTTATATGGCAATAGGAGAAATACACATACTGCTTCCAAGACAATTTCCTCAATCCCAGTAGCAACTACTTTCATAATATTTCAGCTGATTCTTCTTGTATCTTCCTATGCAACTGTGAATAGAATAATTTGTAAGTTTTAGGCATTTGGTATTAGTTTCCTAGAATATTTTCTAACCCTGTGCATCAAGGTATCTTATTTCTAAAAATTGTTATCACGACTTTTAGAGTAAAAAATACACCATATAATCTTATGTTTTGAGTAGTAAAACTCTGAAATATGTGTTGACTATAGTTATCGGGATAACTATTTAATAGAATATTTTCAGTCGCACTAAAAGTTAGTATAATTTATTATATAATTTTTATATAAATCTGTAAATTGTTAAAAAATGACCGAAAGAGGCCAGGTGTGGTGGCTAATTCCTGTAATCCCAGTGTTTTGGGAGGCCAGGGTGGGGGAATTGCTTGAGGACAGGAGTTCAAGACCAGCCTGGGCAATGTAGCAAAACCCTGTCTCTACAAAAAATTTAAAAATTGCCAGGCATAGGGTGCATGCCTGTAGTTCCCCATCAGGAGCCTGAGGTGGGAGAATTGTTTGAGTCCAGGAGTCTGAAGCTGCCATGAGCTATGATAGCACCACTGAACTGCAGCCTCCGTGACAGACTGACCTTGTCTCAGAAACAAACAAAAAAACAAACAAAGGAAATGATTGGAAGACTGAAATTTTGGAATCTAACAAAATAAAATATAGTTGACCACTATGTTTAAAAGTTAAAATCTTGATTGACAACTTTCTGCTCTAATTATTGTCACATATTAACTAAAATGTTCTAATTGACTTTAAAGTATATTTGTGATTTTACTTTTATTAATACTTGCAAAAGCTATTTAGCTATATTTATTATCTTGCTTTGATATAAATACATAGATTATGTAGTAATAAAATATAAACAAGTTAATTATACTTATAAGTAAAGGGCTGCATTCAATCAGAAAATAAAACTATCAATATAATATTTACTTCTCAGGATGAGTAAAAATATATGTAAGCCATATTTAAATGTATTTGAAGGTGAAATATTTAAGTTTATCACTTATTCATGCTACACCACTGTTTAAATCTGTGTATCTTTCACTTGATAGGCCTGTGCTAGCTGAGTTAACCATAAAATATATAAATATAAAGTGATAGTCACTAGTAAGAAACACTATATCTGCATTAAATTACCATTTAAGTTTTTAAAAAGCCACAGGTACAGAAACCTGCATAGTCAGATACTTAAAGGAAGAAAGATTTATTTAAAAACAAACAAACAAACAAAAAAACAGACAATGCATTTGAAAAGAATAAAAACACCTACTAACTATTTGGTATTTTGAGAACTCTGTACAAATCAGATACGCACATTGAGAAATAAACTAAATTTTCTTTCTTTGCTCCACTGATTTCAAAGGGAAGATTCTATTTTCAACACTTTTATATCACTATATTGCCCAAGGAAACAAAATCAATTAAATTTTAATATAAACTTTATTTATGAACTTAGCTATTTTTAATGAAAGAAATCTGTGTAAAATATTAAAACCACAGGCTGAAGAAAAAAACTCATTTATTTTGTGTTTCTGTATGCTTTTAAAGAACTATATTTATTTGCCTGGATATTGAAGACTTTATGTGGTCTGCAGCATCAAGGAGCCATATTGATCAACCCGATTAATATACCACATCCAGTACAACAGGTGCAATTGGAGCTATAGCTTAAGTTTGCATTAATACACTTGTATTTGTCATAATGCATCTCATTTCTCTGAGGCAATTTGAATGGATTAAAAGATGATATAATAGTGATCACCACTCATATCTCTGTTATGGTGGCACTAATGTCGGTGATTCCTTCTGAAATGCTGCATTGCATTTTTTTTTACTATGTTGGTATGAGGCAATTTCAGATATTTACACTGGCTATTTTTTTTTTATCATAATGGCCATTTGTCTCCAGGTCAGAGAACCTAGGAGGGGATTTTGCAAGCTGCTAATGTAACCAAAATGCAGGTTCAGTCACTCGCTACTTGTAGAGTCCAATTAACAGGAGCAAGATCTGGTATAAAGAAAGTGACTTTTTATTCTAAAGCTAGTTGAGGGAAAGAAGTACAGCTTCCTGCCTTAAGGATACTACTTCACTTTTGGAGGAGAAAGTGTGTACTTTTCAAAGGGGACGTAGCATGAAACGCATGCAGGGGAGGAGGTGGGCAGGTGCGGGGAGGCTCTGTGTACCAGTTTTGGTGTCTTACATGCCAGGCCATCAAGTTGTTACCTTTGTGGACAGCGGTAGAACTAGGTTGTAAAGGTGGCCAGGCATCTCCAGGTGGGACAAGGTTCCATAGGGACTTTGGGTTTTAAATTGCCTGTTATTTCTTGAGGCAGATTGCTGGTGGATGAGAGTTTCATAGCAGGCAGAATTTGGGTTGTAAATTGACTGTGGTCTCTTGAGGCAGTCTCCTGGTGGGAGAGAGCTCCATTCTGGAGCTTCTAAGCACATAGTTAGACGAACTTACCCCATAGGGATTATCTGGTGAAGGGGAGGTGAAAGATTCTAATTGCATTTCTAAAGGGCTAAGTAGGAGGTGGGGAATGGAGGAAACCGAGAAAATAGGAGAAAAAAAAATGATGCAGACAATAGTAACTCATTCTCTATCTCTTAGAAAAATGGAGTACTTAATTATACTAAAGTTATTTCAATTTTACCTAGTTTGGAGCAAGGGAAACAAATACTGTTTTCAGCAATCACATTGGCCTCACTGAGAGAAGGATATGCCGCAACTGTTCATGAAAAACCAATATTTTTATTTGGTGAAAATATTACTCATTAGAAGACTAAAAACAAGGGTATGGCACATAAAATTTTTTCCTAGTTCTTTGAGAAAATTTCTAATGTTAATGCCTCCATAATGGTAAAAAAGAAGACAGTCTAATAATTATTGAGTATGAGGCTTTAACAAGGAGGTGTATGTTATATTGTTCATTTAACCCTCCAACTCTTTGACTTGGGTATTTGTTATTAAAAGCTCCACATTAAGAAATGCATGAGAGTTTAAAAAAAGAATGAGCTATTCCTAGATTGAATAAGCCCACAGGAAAAAATACACGTGTCAAATTATGAGAAGAATTTATTTTGAAAAAAATTAAAAGTCGGGTTTTAAAAAAAATACACTTTCCCCCAAAATACATGTTTTATATATTTGTAGGCCTTGAAATAGTTCATTATTTAAAAAATAATAGTTTTTATGCAGATGTAAAATAATACTTTTTTTCAGAGTTAGAAGAATCAACTTTGATAACTGACATTTCAATAATACCATCTCTCTCTAATGAATAAAACACAAAGTTGTTTGCTCATGTTGATACTGGCAGGCCTTCATAAGCACATTTTTATTCACATTTAATTGTTTAATATTTCAATTGTCATTTTGTTCTTTCTTTCTTGATAAGAGTAATTAGCTGAAAGTGTCATTATATTGTGTCTAGTTTATGTGTATCCCAAGTTTACTTGTTTATGTACTGGTCTCTGTGCTTGGTGTATTCAACTGTCTTTCAATTAAATGATTACTACTTTGGGACTATCTCTATTGATAAGCTGAATTGGTAAAATGGCACCCTTAATCTTTGTTGTTGTTAGCACTGATTTCCCTTGTCTAGTCATTCTTGAGAAAACTCAGAAATAATTTGTCAGTGAATAATGCAAGTAATAAATTGGTATCAATATTTCTCCAGTAACTATAGCACTGATATATATTGGAAAGATTTGAGTGCTGTGTTAGTTCATTCCTGCATTGCTAAAAATAACTACTAGAGACTGGGTAATTTATAAAGAGGTTTAACTGGCTCACTGTTCTGCAGGCTCTACAGGAAGCATAGCTGGGGAGGCCTCAGGAAACTTGCAATCATGGTGAAGGGCAAATGGGAAGCCCGCATGTACCACATGGCGGGAGCAGGAGGAAGAGAGTGAAAGGAGGGGGTGTTACACACTTTTAAACAACCAGACCTCATGAGAATTCTATCACAAGACAGCCCTTAGGGGAATGGTGCTAAACCATTAGAAACCACCCCCATGATCCAAGCACCTCCCACCAGGTCCCAACTCCAACACTGGGGATTACAACTCAACATGAGATTTGGGTGGGGACACAGAGCCAAATCATGGCAAATGCTAATGTAATTCTGATATTCTCCTATGGAAGTTTATGCTTTAGTAAACATTTTATAAAGTGCAAAAATATTTGCTACTGCTTTGTTATTTAATTTTATTAGAGTGAGTTCTTTGCCACAAACACTAATCAGGACTTTAGAAAATGACAAAAGTAATCTAGTAGTTGTACAATATCTAGATACACACATCTTTTATATATATATATTCTACCCTGGTGTGTGAGAACTATTAAGTGATACATTCTCATAGAACAAATAAATACAGAGAATCACTGAGGAGATTAAATTATGATGTTTGTTTCATTCAAAATAGCATCAATGCACAAAAATAGTTTCATAATTAAGGTTCACTACTGTTTTGTTATTCCTGGCCTATTTATTTGAATAAGATCAGCAAATATCAGCCTGCATGGGAAGACTGACTCTCCATCTGTGTTTGCAAATAAAGTTTTATTAAAACAGAGTGACATCCACTGCTTTCCATGATGTCTATGAATCCTTTCTCTGAAATTTGGCACTTACAGAAAAAGATTGCTGACACCTGAATTAAAAAAGCTAATTCTTTTGTTAAGTATTTTTTAATTATTAAATGTTCTAATTATAAAATAGTTAAAATTAATTATAATACAGATTGACCACTTTGCTACATGATCAACAATAATAACTAAAAGTAAATAAGAGAGTTTTGATCTGATATATTCTAGTGTGCAGAACATCCATTTTATAGTAATCAATTCATAATGTAATTATTTCAGCCATCTTATTGTCTATATGTAGAAAGGGTCATTAATTCTATTATTCTTGTGTTGATGTTAGACAATGTTTTTTAGTGACAAATTTATATAAAATTGTTAGGAAAAAAGTCTTGTTTTTCATTTGCCTCTTAGCCATCATTTTATTTTAATTGAGAGGTCTATGTGAGCTTCAATCTAGGACTTCTGTTAGAACTTTTATCTCAATTTAAATGTGTAAATTACCTTATACCTGCCAGTGTAACAGCTCTCTGTCAGTAAATGTAAGTCTTAAAATTAATTACAAACTTTAATCTCTAAACTGCATCATTGTTATGAAGTGTGAACATTTTAAAGGGAAAAAGTTAATATGTTTGTCTACATTTGCAAACTTGGCTGACCCAAGCATAGTTGAAGTTTTTTCTGCTTGAAATTGCTTTATCTTATTACAAATGTATGATAAAATAAACTGAATCATGAAGAAACAGTCTATTAAGAAAAAGGATAACCAAGAGACATACTTCACTCAAAAATAAAATTAGTACTGGGAAAATTGGGTTAGATTGTTGTCATATTACACACTTTATTTTTATCAGGGATATAATTTGTTTCCAAGTACATTAAAAGTTAATGAATACAGTTAATTATAGGTCAAATTAAATGTTGATAGCTTTAAAAATTTTAAGTCTTTCTTTTTTGTATATAGTTTATAAATATACAGACACTAAATAAACAGGTATGTTTTAAAAGACTCCTGAGGAGGGAAATGAAGAAAAATTTAAGAAACACTGATAAGGACAAAAAAAAACTCCTGTGTTCCCATGAAAATGCAAAAGACAATATGAGAACAGCAAGCTATTTTTAGACTTCCCAAAATGGGAGATGCATATTGAGACAATATTTCTCATAGTTTTCAATAGAAAGACTTATTGTCAAAATTTGATAGATTTAAGGCATTTGTTTTTTAGTCAACATAGTAAACTCATTTTATATCCCTAAGTACTCTTAACTCTTCATCAATGCAATTACAAAGGAGTTCCTGCATCTCCAACTTAATTATTTTAGGCATCATTGTATCTGAATTTCAAGGAGCCTTCCTTTTGCCTGTGTCAGAACATTAAATCTTGAGAATCAGGTAAGCTTTTCTGTGTGAATAAACTTCTACTGGTCCCACACACGTATTGCAGCATCTCAAGAGCCATTCCATATGTATTTTCTTCTTCCTCCTACTACATTATTCATGCTTTATAGTTACTCTTTTCTCCTACAGTAGAGATGATACTTGTGCCACTCAGATGAGACCTAAAATTTATGGTTCACCTTTTGCCAGTGAAAGAGGTACACATGATCTTGTTGAGAACAAGAATCATCCTGTATTTGCATCTGGTGAGTTTATTTAGTGGAGACAATGAATGCTTTTACTAGCCCAGACTGTTTAAAAGATTACATATTTTCAAGATTATCAGGTTTATTTACTCAGTTATGTCATCTCGGATGTTAGTGCTCTCTATTATCAAAGTCTTGGTTTTAATATGGGAGAGATCTTGGCACTTAATTTATATGTACATATAATCAGAACCTGAGCTTTATATCCTGAATAATGTGCCGTGCATATGCAGAAAATGAGAATGTTAAAAGTGTTCAAAGCTGTCTTCTGGTTTTAACAGAACTTCTTGAGATTAGTTATCTTTCCTGAGCACATACTTTTTTTTCTTACCAACGCTTCCAGTGCCTTGAATTTAATACTATTCTTCAACACTTATAATGATTATTTCTTTTCTATTGAACAAATTCCATAACCACTCCTAATTACAATGCATCTTCTATCATTTGCATTGTCAAGACAGACTACATTGTGTCACCGTAAAGCACACATGAATGCATTTAAATGTTTCCAAGTAGGATTAAATTATAAATTAATAACAGAAAGATATCAAGAAAACAAAATATTTGAAGCTAAACAATATACTTCTAAAAACTAATTGGTAACAGAACTTCATATTCAAGAAAAACAAAGTTAAAAAATTTACATTATCTGCATTCAAAATTTACTACAAATACGTGTTATTTGAGGGAAAGTATGAGCATATGTATTTATGGATTAGATAAAGAGCCACAGAAATGTAGTCAATGGCTCTTTGAAAAACGTACAAACCCTTCAACAAAGAAAAGTGTTTCCAAATTGCTATTGAGTAATTAAATTTGTAAATTTAACTAATAGTCTTTGACTAAAAGTTACAACTTAACAAAATTAACTGAAAATTGTTCATAGATATGACCATGTATGTAAAATTATAAAACTTCAGGAAAAATACTCAGGAGAAAATTTTTGTGGCCATGAGTTGACCATTATTACTTCTTTGGAAAAATACCACTGTTTGAGATCCAACAGGGGAAAAATAGCATAATTAGCATCCCAAGGATTTTGGATGTTGAAATGGCCTGACACTAAATATGTTCAGTGAAAGGAACTAAAAGGAAGAGAATACCTGATGTGATTTTATTTATAAACAGTTGAACCCAGGTAAACCTAAGTATGTAGCATGCCTCCATTGTCTCCACAAAATACACTTAACAGATGCTAATACCAGATGATTCTTCTTCTCAACAAGAATATTAAAGATAGTGACATCTCCCATGGGGAGACAAAAATTGTTCTTCTAGGGGGTTAAAAAAAACTCTTCTTTATTTATTAAATATAGATATATCTATAATACAAAACAGATATAGAGCTATAGGAAGAGACAAATTAACAAATACATTGTCTAGAAAATTACCTGTGAGGAGAATGATTTTTAAAATGGTTGATAAATGCTGAGTAGGAATGTCAGATAGAATTAAGTAGTAATTTTTCTGAAAAAAAAATTAATGATAAGTAAAGAACAAAAGGTATGTTTTTGAGATTCTGGTGATATCTTACATCTTTTTCTGGGCAATGATTCAAAAGGAGTATTATCCATTGAGCATAGTCTTAAGGTTTATAAACTTTGGATAAATTTTAGTTATCAATACAATGAAAAGGCTCAGAAAGACTTGGCTGACTTTTTAAAGAATAACTAAAAAAAAATCTAGGAATATAAATTTTATTTTGAATTGAAATTTAATTGAAATCTATTACTTTATTTTCATTTCCTGTGTTTGCATTATATATTGCCTATCACCTATTACATCAGATTCTTTATAACAAACCTAACAAAAACTGTTCATAATCTATAAAACATTTTTAAATAAGCATTAAATAACTAAATAAATACGAACATATTCAAAGTTTATAATTAAAAATGACTTTGACATAAATATATACATTTGTCTCTACTAATCTATAAACTCAAAGCAATTTGACCAAATGTTCACAAGTGGCCACTTATTATCATCTGCTTTATCTTGACCCAACTAGTCAGGATTTTCTCTTACAAGCCATTGACCTCTGCCTGCCTCTAAGCCTAAACAAGGACAGAAAACCATGCCACCCTTAGTTTCTCCTGGGAAGCAGCTTACCAAAGCAAGACTCTTCCTGTCAGACTCCACTAGTCATGTCCTCTTGCAAGTCCAGGTTCCCTTACAAAGATTCTGCTTATTTCTGCTTACCTCTACTTTAACCTAGTTAGAAAAACAAACAAACAAACAAACAAACAAAAAAATCTTTTTTGCTTGAGTTCTGACAGATTTCTATGATCATAGTGTTTCCCTTATTGCAATAGTCTTGCTTTTAATTACAGTCTCTCCTTACCTAATTCTGAATTTGTTTTCATTCACAAATTTCAAAGTCTCACATTATTTTATACATGTATCTTGAAAATTAATGTTAAAACACAGCAAAAAGGTGAATTGTCAAATGCTTCAAAATGTGTTTGTCGTAGAAACAGGTGAGAAAACTAGCTCAACCAGATACCAATCTTTTTTTATAAATATATGATAATTCAGATAAAGAGCTAGGTAATTAAATAATTTTCCAATGGTTTTATCTAAATCTGAGAAAACACAGGTAACAAAAATGCTGAGTAAATACATGGACTTTCTCAAAATTTGTTAATTCACAAAATAAGTTGCTAACAAGATTTTAATGTGTAGTAATATTCTATAGTTTTTTATTATACAACTATTTCATACTTATCTATGCTCAGACATTAAAAGGGTAATGATAAGCATTTAAATTTCTCAAGCACAATTTGTTAAGTAATTTTTATGTTTTATATTTTACCAAATGGTAGACTCAATGAAAATGAAGAAAAGGCATCCATGTTTGCTTCTAAATAACAAATTTAAAGGTTTAGGAATGATTGTTTAATGTAAAAGATAAGAAATAGAAATAGATTGTTCATAGATAAAACTAAAACTTGTTACAACTGCTCGATATTATGATTAAAAAGTGCTGTTGATTCTATTTGAGATCTAAAAACATGCTGTTAACCTTCGGTACCTTCAAATTAGGGAAATATATACATATATATGTATGAGTTTGTTTGAGGCTGCAGTGAGCTATGGTCACCACTGCACTCCATCTGGACTGGGTGACAGAGAAAGACTCTATCTCTAAAAATTAAAAAGTAATAATAATAATTTAAATTTTTAACATAAAAAATAAAAATAAAAGTTGCTAATAAATTTTGTTGTGAAAAATATTACACATGTGAATTGAAAGTGAGTGCACCATAGGACAAACCAATTTAAATGCTGAAGTAAATGTCAAATTAAGATTATCACGTTTTTCCTAATTGGAGTCTCTATCTGCTTCCAGGAATTTGTGTATTCCTTTGAAAAACTTGAGACTTCTCAGATAATGTTTTTAACCATTATTAGGTTTCGAAAGATTATTTCATTTGTTTCTTCCTACCTTTGTGGAGCTCTGAACTGGAACTTTGCTGTAAAGAGTAAAATTCCTGGCCTACTACAGGATTCCAGGAAAGGGAAGGCAAATCAAGGGTGCATGTTACCATTAAAGCTCTATAGAGAGAAAGCAAATTTGAAGGTTAAAAATTATTAAAGTACCCCAGAGTTTTCAGTTTTGATTCTAAGTAATGTTTTACAAGATGTCTTGAAATGTATAACAATGTAAACAATGGTATTCTAAGATAGCTGGGGAAATAGTGAAAGAATGCATAAATTAACAATATCACCACTTTCATATTTCTATTTTCATAGAAACAAAATAGTGTTTGTAATAAGACAGTAAAAATAGTGTAGAAGGAATTATATAAAAATACGACATTTTTCTCCTCAATTTCCTCCATATAGTTTCATTTAATAATAGCATATATTATTTCAAAATTATTGCTTTTGCAAACATTTGTATAATTCCTTGTTTAGTTTTATTTACACATATCATATACGCGTCTTTGTAGCTGACAAATCTGCAATTTGGGGTATATTCTAATGTTTTCTGTGTCGCTACAAGGAGCAACACTTGCAATGGTGAGTAAATGGTCTGGTGGTAACTGAGAATTGTACCTTTCAGAAGGGGAATCAGGAAGCAAAGGTTCTAATCTGATGGAGAAAGATTACAGCTTTTTCAATCTAAGAAAGGCTTAGACAAACGAATACACACCTGTTTAATCTCTTTAAACTTGGATTTTGGAAAATCAACCTTCTGTTTCAATACATCTAAAGTTAGTGACAGATTGCCACATTTTACATGTA
Source organism: Homo sapiens (assembly GCF_000001405.40). NCBI lineage: Eukaryota > Metazoa > Chordata > Mammalia > Primates > Hominidae > Homo > Homo sapiens. The sequence goes on along the minus strand of NC_000004.12, from coordinate 116,139,203 downwards.
AATAAGCAATTTGCTTCTTTTGATTTTCTATAAATATTATTTTTTAAAATTTAATGTTTAATATTTATTTGAGTCATTACATATAAATTTATGTTTTAGTCCTAGTTATAAGTGTGCAATATTGCATATTCTTTTAGAAGCATTATATAGTGAAATTAATATTTCTGCTTCTCTACTATTTTCTGTATAGTTTCAGGAATCAATCAATTTCTTTTAGAGATGTTAGAGAAAATGATAAAGTAAAAGGCAAGTTTCTTTATGTCATCAGGTAGGAAATATAAGGATCCCAATGATTTATCACATATGTCCAAGTCCAAGAAAAGAACAAATATTGTCAAACAGAAAGAACGGATATTATTCAATAGAAATTCTATCTTTATTTTTCACACCTCTTTCTCTCATGTAAAATTGCTGCAATTTTAAAAGTTGATTTCCACTGTATAGTAATTTTAAGTACATATAATACATACTGAAAAAATGTACACTTATGTTCTAAAGATTTTTAGGATCTTAAGATTAAACATTAATAAATCTAAAATCATGCCAAATAAATTATACACATATCATATATATTTCACAGTAATGTATTTAAAAGACAGTACATGAAATGAGATACTAGGTGTATGGTATATAATTTTTAGTGGCTTGAAGTCATTAAATCATTTTAAGTAATATTTGCTTGTAAATTTTAATTATTTTATTTTAATTGACAAAAGCTTTCATGCATTTATGGTATACAATGTGATGTTTTGATATATGTATACATTATGAAATTATTAAATCAAGCTAATTAACATTTATTACCTCTTAAAAAATGAGCTGATATTCAAAATACATAAGGAACTCAATAATTTAAGAAAATTAGAAAATGGGCAATTGACCTGAATAGACACTTCTCCAAAGAATACATACAAATGTTCCACAGTTATATGAAAAAATGCTCAACATCGCTAATCATCAGGGAAATGAAAATTAAAATCACAGTGAGATGTCATCTCACATTTGTTAGAATAGCTTTTATCAAAAAGACAAAAGAAAACAAGTGTTGGTGAGAATGTGAAGAAAAGGAAACTTTTGTACAATGTTGGTACAGTGTAAATTAATACAGCAGTTATGGAAAACAGCAACATAATTTTCTCAGAAATAAAAAATAAAATTTCTTTATATTTTGGGATTCTCTCTTCTGGGCATAGAGCCAAAGGTAATGAAATCAATATGCTGAAGATCTGCACTTCCACGTTCATTTCAGCATTATTCACATTAGCCAAGATATGGAATCAACCCATGTGTCTACCAATAGGTAAGTGGATGAAGAAAATGTGGTTTATTTACATAATGGAATACTATTAGGCCTTAGCAAAAGAAAAATATATATTTTAATTTGTGACAACATGGATGAACCTGGGTGTCATTATGCTAAGTAAAATAAGCCAGGCACAGAAAGACAAATATGGCATAATCTTATTTATATGTGGAATCTAATAAAAGTCCAACTCATATAAGCAGAGAGCAGAAGGGTGTACTTGGGTCTGAGGAAGAGCAGGTGGAATGGGAAGATGTTGGTCAAAATGTACAAAAGTTCTGTTAGGAAGATAAGACTTGGAGATCTATTATACAGCATGGTGATTACAGTTGATAAAAATGTCAGCTTAACAATTGCTAATTGTTTAAGTAGACTCTAAATGCTCTCATCTCAAACAATACATATATGATGTGATGGATATATTTATTTGTATGAATAGGATCTGATAATCATATCTCAGAACATTAGAAAAATTGGCACTGGTTCTTATTCTAGGATTGTTATTAACTTTCAGTGTGAAGACATATTTCTAATTAAACATAAAATATGTTACCTTAAAGGTGAAAAATATGCTGGCTTTTTACTTTTATATTTGTAATATTTTATGTCAACACAAAATGGATCAAAGCCTAAACTCTTTTGAAGGGAATTGTATCATATGAATTTGATTCTCAGCAAAGTTTTGTGTCAAGTATTCAGAATTATGCAGATATGACTGTAATACATAAGAACCTAGAACAAGAAATTAGACAAAATCAAAGAGGCTGATTTTGATGTATGTGCCTGCAGGAGAAGCTGAATTCCAGGTATTTGTGGTAGAAGTGGTTTCATGATCACAACAGACGCTGGTTTGGGGTTTGTCGTTAGGTGAGAAGATATCCAGTGTATGTCCTGAACTCTTCCGGAAGCTAAACCAAGAACCTATTCTTATAACCTTCCTTAGGTTTTGTGGACTCTAAATAGTACATTAATTTTTGTTTTGTTTTGTTTTGTTTTGTTTTGTTGGGTTTTTTCTTTTTTTTTTTCTTTTTTTTTTTTGAGACGGAGTCTCGCTCTCTCGCCAGGCTGTAGTGCAGTGGCGTGATCTTGGCTCACTGCAACCTCCGCTTCCCGGGTTCAAGCGATTCTCTTGCTTTGGCCTCTCGAGTAGCTGGTACTACAGGCGCCCGCCACCACACCCAGCTAATTTTTGTATTTTTAGTAGAGACAGGGTTTCACCATGTTGGCCAGTATGGTCTCGGTCTCTTGACCTGGTGATTCGTCCGCCTCAGCCTCCCAAAGTGCTGGGATTGCAGGCGTGAGCCACTGCACCAGGCCTTTTGTTTCTTATATTAGCTAGTTTCAATCCATGGGTTGATGAATGAAAGTGCTGAAGTTCAGAATATTTCCAGGGTCCTTGTATAAAAATTAGATGATTGTTTGAAATAAACTTGCCCTGCAATATATATATATATATATCAATCTGAAATAAGATATTTTTTATAAATTTCTTAGAGAGAAAAACAATTTTGTCCTAAATTTCTAAAAGTTTTATCTAAAGTGTTAGGTTACTGTTTGTATCACTTATAAAATATTTTAGCTAATAAATACTTTTTAAAACCATATTTAATTTCTCATAATTATGAAAATATTATATACGTAGACTATTTTTATTTGCTTAATTTATCAAATTGTGTTTATTATTCCAATGCCTTTTTGATAGGCACATTATTTACATTAATACTTCTTAGATAAAATTCTTTTAGGGACAGTACTTGAGTTGGATTAATATATTTCTCTTAAAAGATCCAATATTAAGCTTTCATCTTAAGAATGTTACCTAGGTTGCATAATTTTAAAGAAAGAGGTTTTATCATAGGAAAACACTGATTAATAAAATATAGATCAACATTATTTCTAGTACTATGACTTCAAATTATAAATACATATATTACCATTTTCTGTTAAAAATACTAAATACTAAATACAATAATTTAAAGTTAATGGCAGGACTGAAAACTGTTCTTGCTCAAACACCAGAAAACAAAAATGTATGTAACTTAGAAATGAATACTGCCCACAGGAGGTAGATGAATAACATGGATTATTGGATAAAAGTCAGACAGAGGAAATGAAGTAACAGCAGAATAGTAACCACTATTATCTATTAAGCCATAGTTTATTCTACATTAGAAATGGGTTCATAGAGCAATTTTGCTCAATATGAAAATTCAGTAATGAAAAATCACTGATAGTCTTTAGATTCCAGAATATAAAAGAGACATAGTTTTTCTTTTAGGATATTTTATAATTCAATAAATATTGAAACATTTGAGAATGTGTATATATTTCTAACCCATACAGAGTCATGAAACAAAATAATAAATTTAAGTAATAAAACTTAAAAGTAAAAATTATGATAAAACGTGGGGTTTTCCAGAATTATCTAGTTATAATAAATAGGAAACTAGTACTAACATAAAAATATTAGAAAGGTTATATAATGGTACAGAATCTTAAATGAGAATAAAAAATGATTATGTTATTAATAAAATAGTGGTAAGTTAATATTTTTCGTTTCTGTGCACATACATTTAGAAAAATTGAGTGAAATCAGTCTTAAAGTAAAAATTTCAAAAATATATAGCAGAAAAATTAAACATGTTATTTTATATAAGATAATCTGTAAGGCTTTAAGTAAATGTACCCCCTCCAGAAACCAAACATGGAAGATCCCAATACAGCTCAATGAACTTTTCTATAACAGATGATTCCAGTTATTTAAATTCAGACAGAGCATAGGGACACACTTGGTTCATGAGAAGAGTATACTAGTGATTTTAAATTTATATAATGAAGGAAAACATAGAAGCTTATGGGCCAATATTATTCTTAAAGATCAACCCAAAATACCACATAGGAAAAAAAGATGTCTCACTCACTGTTACCTATCATGATCATATAGAGGTGTCAGAACTTTCTTTTTTACACCGCCAACATTTGGGATTTATGAATTATATTTTAATTAATGAGGTTCATGTGTGTCTGGGCTTCCGGAAAGAGTAAATTCTTATCCATGTTTAGTGATAGAGATTAACCAAAATTAAAACAACAAAACACATGTAAATCTTGCAGTCTTTGCTGTAAACTTTAAAATAGTAACTAAGTTATTTTTCTGTAAATATAGTAAAATCTTAAAATTTCAAACATATTTAAGAAAATAATGCCTAATTATTATTTGGATTTAATATATACCATGTTTATAATAAAAGCTCAGAAGTCATAAAGCAGAGAAAAAAATTCCATTATCTTATATAAAGGGTGATATAAAAATGTACAATGATTCTGAGGATTATTCATACTATTGTAAATTATACATAGGAATATAAATTGAAGTCTGATTTAAAGAATAGGTGATGGTATTTGAATAAATTCCAGATGCTATCTAGTTCAAATGTTGCTAACATTTCCCATCCTCAATAAATGCTAAATTATACTACATGAACTTCTTCTACAACATCCTTGATTGATACTTGTAAGGCTTTTGACTTGCCCAATTCCTGGCTGAACTACCTCATTGGCATCTATCAGATTGTCTTTTCTTTAGCTATCTCCTTAGGTTCTCTCCTTGTACTATATTGTGTATTCCAATATTTAAAAGGAATTATCCTTTTCCAAGTTGGATTTTCAGAGTAGATTGACACTGGAATGCAGACACACATTCACAAGATTGATACTAAACCAAACTGACTATTTATAAAATCTGCTATGATAAATAAAACTGACATGCAAAGTAGAACAACTCATGTTGTCATAACTTAACATATGTTTTCCTGGCAGTAACAGCATGATTCCAGCAAGAACTATCTTTGTAAGCAAGAGCTCAAACGAGATTTTATTAAATAGTAAAAAAGCATGAAGCATCAATTTTCAGTTAGTAAATATACCTTCCACAAAATACTTAAGTGTGTACATCAGAGCTAATGTCTTCTTAACTTCATATTGGTCTTCTTTCAATTCTGTCTTCCCTGCACAAGCTGTTTGCCTAATGCCATCTATGTAAGACGTTACTTGCTCCTCCTTGCCTTCTGCTATGATGGTGAGACCTCCCCAGCCATGTGCAACTGTAAGTCCATTAACTGTAAGTCCTTTTTCTTATATAAATTGCACTGTCTTAGTTATGTCTTTATCAGCAACGTGAAAACAGACAAATACATTAAATTGGTACCAGTGGAGTAGGGCACTGCTGAAAAGATGCCCGAAAATGTGGAAGTGACTTTGGAACTGGGTAACAGTCAGGGGTTGGAACAGTTTGGAGGGCTCAGAAGAAGAGAGGAAAATTTGGGAAAGTTTGGAAATTCCTAGAGACTTGTTGAATGGCTTTGCCCAAAAAGCTGATAGTGATATGGACAATAAAGTCCAGCCTGAGGTGCTCTCAGATGGACATGAAGAACTTATTGGGAACTGGAGCAAAGGTGACTCTTGTTATGTTTTAGCAAAGAGACTGGTGGCATTTGGCCCCTTTTCTAGAGATCTGTGAAACTTTGAACTTGAGAGAGATGATTTAGGGTATCTGGCAGAAGAAATTTCTAAGCAGTAAAGCATTCAAGAGGTGACTTCGGTGCTATTAAGGCAGCATTCCATTTTAAAAGGGAAACAGAGCCCCTGACAATACAATAGAAAAGAAAATCTCATTTTCTGAAGAGAACATCAAGCTGGCAGCAGAAATTTGCATATGTAACAAGGAGCCAAATGTTAATCACCAGGACAATGGGGAAAATGTCTCCAGGGCATGTCAGAGAACTTAGCGGCAGCCTCCCCGATCACAGGCCCAGAATTTTAGAAGCTAAAAATGTTTTTGTGGGCCAGGCCCAGGGTCCTTCTGCTGTGTGCTGTCTAGGTACTTAATGCCCTGAGTCCCAGCCACTCCAGCCATGACTAAAAGAGACTAAGGTACAGCTCAGGCTGTTGCCTCAGAGGATGAAAGCCCCAAGCCTTGGCAGCTTCCACATGATGCTGAGCCAGCGGGTACAAAGAAGCCAAGAATTGAGGTTTGGGAACCTCTGCCTAGATTTCATAAGATGTACAGAAATGCTCGGATGCCCAGGCAGAAGTTTTCTGTAGAAGTAGAACCCTCATGAAGAACCTCTGCTAGGGCAATGCAGAAGAGAAATTTGGGGTTGGAGTCCCCACACAGAGTTCCTACTGGGGCACCACCTATTGGGGCTGTGAGAAGAGGGCCACCATCCTCTAGACCCCAGAACTGTAGATCCACTGATAACTTGCACTGTGCACGTGGAAAAGCTACAGACACTCAATGTCAGCCTGTGAAAGCAGCTGCGAGGGAGGCTGTACCTTGCAAAGCCACAGGGACAGAGTTGCCCAAGACCATGGGAATGGACCTCTTGCATCAGCATGACCTGGATGTGAGACATGGAGTCAAAGGACATCATGTTGGATCTTTAAGATTTGACTGTCCCGCTGGATTTTGGACTTGCATGGGCCCTGTAGCCCCTTGTTCTGGCAAATTTCTCCCATTTGGAATGGCTGTATTTACCCAATGTCTGTACCCCCATTGTATCTAGGAAATAATTAACTGGTTTTCATTTTTTGATTTTACAGGCTTATAGGCAAAAGGGACTTGCCTTGTCTTGGATGAGACATTGGACTTTAGACTTTTGAGTTAATGTTGAAATGAGTTACAAATTTGGGGGACTGCTGGGAAGGCATGATTTGATATGTGAAGACATGAGATTTGGGTGGGGTCAGGGCAGAATGACATGGTTTGGCTTTGTGTCCCCACCCAAATATCACCTTGTAACTCCCACCTTTCCCATGTGTGTGGGAGGGACCCAGTGGTAGGTAATTGAATCATGGGGGTGGGTCTTTCCCCTTGTTTTCTGGTGATCTGATGGTTTTAAAAATTTCCCTGCAGAAGCTCTACGTATATGTTATAGACACATCTATATGCATCTATATTTCATTATTAAAATGTGTTTACCAGAAAAGAAAAGAGAATAAGTTTTCATGTAGAGTATTTTATAAAAGAGAGGATGATTTCATTCATAACAATAAGTACATTTTATTCTCCTAACAAAGTGCCCATGTTTGCCTGGGAATTCATTACACTAATAGTATATCCAGTGAAATGTAATTTAACCTTTAATTAAAAGATAATTTATAGGATATAGCATTTTAATGAGACAGCTAAGACAAAATAATTGCAAGTAAAGTAAATATTTATACTTTACTGTAGTGTACGATAGATTATAATTAGGTAATTATGCCCAATGTTGTATATAAATGAAAAATGTTATTTAAATTATAACCTGAAGTTATTAACTTAATATATAACATGATCACAATAAAAATTAAGTAATTATTATATGACACTGAAAATATTAACAGCATATTAAAAATCATAGCCAACATCATTAATACTTTAAATATTATTCAGAATGTCATAAAGGATTAAAATAAAGCTCTTTCTAAGAGAATTCATTAATGCGGTTCTTAATAATAAATTATTTTAAAGTAACTTTCTTTAAAAATTAATAATATATGTGCTTTTATATCCTGGATTGGAGCACTATTCTAAGAGTAGCCTAATATTCTATATTATTTAATTTCTTTAAAAACACTTAGTTATAACATGTCACACCATGTAAATAATGCACATGAAATAATTCCATTTCCAAAGCACTTTTGCAGAGCAAAGAATTTTATCTGATGTGAAACAAGATGTTTTTTGTTAAATATTAAAATATGAATAATTTTATCTGAAATTGAATTGAGAAATTTATCGTATGAGTTAACAAACACAACAGATATAAATGGAATAGTAAAAAGAGAAAATGCTTAACATAATGTATAACTAAATACATTGGAGATAATATTATGTTACTAAAACCTGTAGATATTACAATAACTTGTTTAGATAGAAAAGTATGAAAACATGCTAAAATGTAGATTTTTAAATACAAATGAGTAGTCTTGGAAATCATTTGAAAAAAATTCGAGAAAACAATTTGAGAATTCGGTGATATTTTTCAATTGTTTTAATTATATATTCATATTGCTAGGATAAAATACAATACAATTGATCATAAATGAGGTATTAGAATGTGAAGAAATTACATTTTATTGAAATATTTGTGATATACAAAAATATGTAGTCTAAAAAAATGACAGTGACATAGAATTACCATATTTCAGACTTTATAAACCAATGTTATCATAATTCTTATAATGAATTACCTATGTGATATAATTTTAAATTGATGATTTACATACTGGATCCTTTATAAAAACTGGTTAATTACATATGAAGTTAGTATTCTTAACAATATTGGTGTTTAATATGTATATGAGCATGCGCTTCATATGTATGCTCTCCCTTTTTCCTTTTCTCTTTTTTTAAGTGCCTAATGTATAAGTAGGTGAGATTTGTTAGTAGTTGCATTTACTAAATATATTATTTCAATTATCAAATATATATGCATTTATATGAATTATAATTACTGAATGAACTGAACTGTAATACTATTAATATAGAGTCAAACTATTATGTGCACCAACACTTAATCTTGTCTCAGCTTGAAAAAAATACCCAACTTTCTTATTTTTATTTTATTTCTGTGTTTTTCTTACTTTCTTTCTTTTTTTTTTTTTTTTTTTGGATACAGAATTTCACTCTGTCGCTCAGGCTGGAGTGCAGTGGCACAATCTCAGCAAACTCCACTTCCCGAGTTCGAGCAATTCTCCCACCTCAGCCTCCCAATTAGCTGGGATTACAGGCATGTGCCACCAGGCCCAGCTAATTTTTGTATTTTTAATAGAGATGAGGCTTCACCATGTTGGACAGTCTGGTCTCGAACTGCTGACCTCAGGTGATCCACCCTCCTCAGTCTCCCAAAGTGCTGAGATTACAGGTGTGAGCCCAGAGGAGAAATATTTCTTCAACAAGCTCTGTGTATTAGGCAAAGCAAAAACAACAAACCCCCGTGACACAAGAATACCTATGTAACAAACCTGCACTTGTAATCCTAAACTTAAAATATAACTTAAAAAATAATTATCAAATAAAAAGTAAAAAGAGATAATAAAAAAATATTGAATTGACTTCTGCTTGTGGTCAAGATGGAATAATTGGAACTAGGCTTTATCTAACTAAAATATAAAATAAGCAAAATATGTGAAAAATGTTAGCTAAACATGAGAGCTATCATAGAGAGAGATAAAATAAATGAATAAATGAGTTGAGCCTTAAAATTGCCTAACTTCCTCAATGGAAAGAGTCTCTAGTCCACAGCACGGTGAAGATAAATCCCAATGTGTGTGAGAAGCCTCTCTGAGGAGAGGATATAAAGGTTGGATTCTAAGGAGACCAAGGAATCTGGCATTCAAATGACAGAATAATTTAATGGAGAGAGGTAAAAAGAAGAGGAGGAAGAGAAGTGGGGTGGGCAGAGAGAGAGACAGGGAGGGAGAGAGAATTGAGATAGAGAGAAAAAGAGGGGGAAAGAGAGAAAGAGAGAGAATCTGCAGGTCTTCAGAGAATTCCCCTTGAATCTTTAGTGGAGTACTGATCAGTTCATGCATATAAGAGAACTCAAAGTTGGGAAAAAGTACCTGGCCACAGTGAAGAGCACCTGTAGTCCTAACATTCAGAAGGCTGAGTAGGGAGGATTGACTGAGCCTAGAAGTTTAGGGCTGTAGTTTGCTATGATTGCACCTGTGAATAGTCACTGGACTCCAGCCTGGACAGCACAGTGAGAATCTGTCTTGAAAATAAAAATTAAAATATAAAAATAAATATATAATTAAAAGAAAAAAAGAAGCATAGAATCCCAGAACTCACACTGACTGAGAATAGATTATTTTCCCAATGGCATAAGTAAAGAATGTAATTCATTAGGGATCTGGTAGGATAATCCAAATGTATTTTCTCAGTACTCAGGAAAAATGGATATTAGACAAAGGCTGCTTTTGTCGTGCAGAACCAAATGCTTAGGAATATTTCTAGGAATGTGAAAATATCCAGCATCAGAAAAGATAGACTTCACATTAATCAGCATCAATTAAAAAATTACTACACATGTGAAGAAGTAGGAAATGACCAACAATGGGAAGAAAAAATAAATCAATATAAGCGGACTCAGAAGGTATGGCTTTTAAACAGATGGTATGGCTAAAAAGATATAATGTTAGGTTAAGTATTTCTAATCCAAAAATATAAAATCTGAAAGGCCCAAAAATTTGAAACTTTTTGAGCACCAACATGATGTCACAAATTGAAAATTTCATACTTGACATCAACTGGCAAGTCCTAGTCAAAATTTGGTTAAAACTGTTTCATGCATACAATTATTTAAAATATTATATAAAATTACCTTCAGGCTATGTGTATAAGGTGTATATGAAACAGAAATAAATTTTGTGTTTAGACTTGGGTCCCATTCCCAACATATCTCGTTATATATATGCAAATATCCAAAAATCTGAAACAATCTGAAATCTGAAATACTTCTAGTCTCAAGTATCCATACTTCCGGTCAAGTATCCCTTGACTTCAGTCAACTTGTACATATGTTCAACAAGATGGAATTATGTGGGACATGGAAAATATATGAAAAATCTATACTGAACTTCTGGAGATTAAAAATATATTTGATTTAAAATATTCTGTATGTAATCAACAGCAGGTTATACAACATACAGAAAGATTACTGAAACTGAAGACGTAAAAGTAGAACATAACTGCAACTGAACATAGTAAAAATTTTCTGCCATTGAAAAGTAGGACATATTTATGGAAAATAAAATAGGGTAAAATAAATGCAAAAATGAAGACAACAGTGAGATATGGGATAACTCAAGCTTCCTAATATATATGCTGATGGAGTTACTAAGGAAAGGAGAGAGGAAGTAAGACAGAAAAAGAAGATACAATGGCCAAGAATTTTCCAAGATATAATGACCAAGATACAATAAAATTCATAAACCCACAGATCCAAAAAGGTATAACAGGCCCAAGTCCCTCCCCTGCCAAAAAAATGTAACACTGTAGCAGAACGTATCATAATAAAATTTCTTAAAACTAGTGAGAAAGACACACCTTAAAGTGAGTCAGAGAAAAGAAATTATACCTGGCTGTACAAAGAAAAAAATATTAGAATGACAGAAGACTTCTTTTCAGAGACAATGCATATTAAATACTATGAAGCAACATCCTCAAAGTACCGAAGAGTAAAAATATCATTACTATAGAATGGTAATAAGTTGAAAAAACTTTCTAAGGAGAACCCTTAATCTGTGGGAAATTACAGGAATACTAGCAAATAATAAATAATTTAATTTTTTTCAGGTTAATGTATGTTAATATAAAATATGCTATATTGTTAATTTCTCATGTAAGTGTTGTTCTGTACATCTCTTTTATTTGTCACTCACACAGAAATAGGTATCTGTTAGTGTCACTATGTAAAGCTGAATAAGATGGTGGAACTACAGCAATTGTATTTTTCCCAAGCTCCCCCTGAGGAAGACTGTAGTTCAGGGAAGAAGGAGAACTACTCTGTTACTCTTATAGAACATAAGTCAATGAAAAGAAAACTTAAATAAAAGTAAGAACTCAGATTCAAAGACGAGACCCAGATGAAACCATGTTTCTGGAGAAGCTTCCTGATTATAACAATTATGAGCCTTGTTACTTTAAGAGGTGTATTAGTCTGTTTTTATGCTGCTGATAAAGACATACCTGAGACTGGGTAATTTATCAAGAAAAAGAGGTATGATAGACTCACAGTTCCACATGGCTGGAGAGGCCTCAGAGTCATGGTGGAAGGTGAAAGGAGTGTCTTAAATGGTGGCAGGTAAGAGCGAATGAGAGCCAAGTGAAAGGGGAAACCCCTTATTAAAGCATCAGATCTCATGAGACTTGTTCTCTACCACATGAAAAGTATGGTGGAAACCACCCCCATGATTCAATTATCTCCCACTGGGTCCCTCCCACAACATGTGGGAATTATGAGAGCTATAATTCAAGATGAGGTTTGGGTGCGAGCATAGCCAAACCATATCAAGAGGTATGTGCATGTCCTGATAGCATTTTTGTTTTCTGAGCCAGTTATCAGTTTGTTGAGGCTAAACTCCAAATTCACCTTCTTTGGCTTGCATTGTAATACTGAAACAGTACCCTCTAAATATTTCTCATTTGCTGCTGACATAATGCTAATCTTTATCAGTAAATTTCGCTGAAGGGAGGGTCTTCTCTTTATACTCCAGCGTGCTGTTTCCTTCTTGCTGTTATGGCCTGTGATAACCAGCTGGGTATAAAACATGTAGTGGTCCTTACCCTTCACCAAGTGTCAGTGACATACTCATTGGTGGTTTGTCAGCAAGATTAATGGACACTTCAGTAGACAGCGCTTCCCAGGAACTTTAATCAAAACCTTGCTCCCAAACAGTCTCACCCAGCTGAGACACTTCTTGCTGTCCAAAGCTTACAGTACCTCATTCAGCTTCTCAGCCATCCACAGGAACATAGTCACAACCCTTTCAATGAGATGTGAAGAATCTATTCCAAGTCCATTTCTTCCTGTGCCCTCTGCCTCAGCCAGTATACAGTGGCTGATCCTATATCTACTATTTCCTTATTTTTTATGTTTCTCTTTAACCCACCCTCTTTTACCAATTAAGATAACTTTATATTAAAATGTCCAATTCAAATTACTGATGTGTTTTCTGTCTCCTGACAGAACCCAATTTAATGAAATTCTCCAGCTACAGTCATTCTCACTGCACTACCCAATGATTGCAATAGAAGTAGTGGTGATTTTAGGGTTTGCCAGTCCTATACTTAGGAAAGTGAAACTGATTTCTAAGATTTCAGACTGTGCCCCAAGATGATGAAGGGTTGTTCAGATGTGCATCATTCCCAATAGAATATGTAATGTTGGAATCACTGCTTTAAAAATTAAAACCAAATTTATTTCAATTTAAAAATCAGCTGTTATTAAATAAAAATCTATAAAAACATAAAATAAGTGGTAAAATAGCACTTTCTATCAATGAGCACAGAAAATATCCAGTTAAATATGCAAATGTAACAGCAGTCGATTTACTCTCCTTTCTGAATCACAGCAAAAACAAAAGTAGAGACAAATAATGGCATCATGAGAAATTATGTTGAATAAATAATTGTAAAAACTTATACATAATTTCATACATAAAAATATATTCGATTACCCAAAAATATTCCAATGTATGTGCATGCTGTTTCTATAGAGCAAACATAAAAATTGAAGAGAAACAAATAATAGCAAGAAAATAACAACAAAAACAAGAAACCCTAAAAACAGAAAGAATGCTGTCATCAAATTTTGAGTAGAATCTGATAAATATGTCTCGAGAAATATAGAAAGATTGTCACTGATTTTTATCCTAGGCTTAACATTGAACCTTCACTACTAACCATAATTCTAAGTTCTAAAGATAAAAATAAGTCAAATTCAGGGGAAAAAATACGGTATTTTCTTTTTTCTATATCATACAATTATCTGCCTCCAAAAAATACATCAAAATCTAAAACATAAAGAAAAATTATATTCAATAAATTTTATTTTCTTCAAAGGTGTATTTAAATTTTCTGAAGCACGAAAATATGCAGATAACATTGTTTCCATGAACCCAGGTTAAAAGTAAGAACTCAAGAACAAAATCCAACCAAGCAAAAAATAAAATATTGTCAATAAAGAGGTCTTTGTAAAAAACTGGTAAGTATAAAAACAGTTTAAATATGTTTTAGAAACCTAATCAAAGCCTGTAATGGTTTCAAAAGAGATAAGTAACAGAAATAGTGATAAAGTAAAAACAATGTTATAATTTATATAACAGAATAATTATAATGTTTAGCTTCATTAATATTCCTAGTTTATTAGAATGGAGTTATTTGATGACTTTGAAAGAGGTAATTCAAAAAGCAGAAATTTATTCTTACATATTATTGTAAGAACTAATATATATTATTTTATTTCTGGACACACATTCATATACATACGTGCCACACATTTGAAAACCATGTATCCATTTGGAAAAAGGTTGCAGTATTTAAATTTTGAAGCCACAATACACATGGAATCCCAAATGGACTGTTTGAATGAGTGTCCATGGCCTGACACTCCTTTTTTACACTATCCTTTGTCAAACGGGGATATATGGGACACATTGATTTTCGTATATTACACCCTTTGCTCAATTTGTTTAAGATCTAGTCATAGAAGTAAATGTTATTCACCTCAAGACTTCATTTCTCATTCTATTAATTTACCATGTAGCCATAAATATATACTTAATGTGTACATTTCTTCTTTCTTAGGGAAAAGAAGAAATACACACGTTGCATATATGAAGCTCATAATTTACATTTGCCTCAAATATATGAATCCATGTATTTTCCCTCCTTCTGCTTGTAATTTGAACAGGTGAATCATGTGTGTTATTTGAATATTATAAAATCCTATCCAGTTTTCAAAATAAATGTATCTTCAAGAATTTTAACACTTCCCGTTAAATATCAACTAATTACACATCTCGTATTACTAATGATTTAAAATTAAAATAACCATGTCCTAATTTAAAAAATATATTAAAATTAAAAATAACTATTTTGGTTATTCATGCAATTAAAAAAATCAAGTCTGTTTTTATGTAACTTCCATAGCAGTCATTGCTATAGACATTTATATAGTGTCCTTATAAAAGACACAAAGGACACCCTAGAGAAGATGATGTGAAGACAAAACAGAGAAATAGTTTCAGCCACAGGCAAGGAATGTTCACAACCACCAGGAGCTGCAAAAAACAAGGAACAGGTTTTCCCTGAAAGACTGCACAGGGAGTGCAACTCCACCAACAACTCGATTTTACATTTGGCCTCCAGATCTGTCAGAGAATAAAGTTGATAAAGCAAAAGAAAAAAAAAAACAGTGAAAGCTACTCCTGGTATTTTCTATTTACTCAGTAGAACTATTGTTAACTAACTAATGTTAGTATCAATTACTACAAGTAACTACATACTATACTTACATCATTGTAACTTGTTTATTGTCTTATTACACTTGAACATATTTGAACATATTTTCTTACCTGTTAATACAGACATACCACGTTATTTTGGACTCATATTTCTTCATAAATATATGTATGAGTATATAGGGGATGTTTTCTATATTAATATATATATTTAGCTTGGGCACATTATTTATAGAATTTCTACTAATAAAGTATTACAAAATATTCTTGTGTAAACACTTTTACACTCTCACATGAGTATATAATGGAATGGAATACTAGAGCCGAAATTTTTTGCATCTATATGTTTTTAAATATTACTTACCAGTAATAATGTTACAGTACATATTCAGGCAGACATGAACAAAACAGGAGACAGCCTCCCCACCAGAAATGTCAGGTAACCATCAGGTGATGGTTAGGCAGTTATTAAATTGTCTCTCTAAAATAAGAATTCGTCACAGCCAGTGCCAGGGAAAGGTAGTCTTTCAAAAAATAGAAAAAAAACCCTGATAGTGTTGATCAGCAGCTTCCCAGTAAGACCCCAGGAGCTTGGTGAGAGAGCTCAAGCATGTGCACTAAGAGGCAAAATGGTGGAATTTAACTAGTATATGACCTTCCTCTAAAATCACCTGACTGGTAAGGGAACTCCTCAAGTGAGCATTTGCACAATTTCGGTAAATGCACCATGCATACAGCCCCTCCCAAGTGCGGGCAGGCCACTGCGCATGCAGATAGCCCACCCCAAATGAAGAATCAGAGGAGAAGTAAGTCGAGAACCTGGAAGCATGCCAATATATAAAACCCCGAGTCAAAAGGTCAAACTGTGTACTTGATCTCTCAAGTCACCTGCTTGGCCCTCTTTAAAGCATGCATTATTCCTTTCATTCCTGACCTAAAACTTTTTAATAAACTTTCACTCCTTCTCTAAAACTTGCCTTGGTCCCTCTTTCTGCCTTATGCCCCTCAGTCGCATTCTTTCTTCTGAGGAGGCAACAATGGAGGTTGCTGAAAGTTCCGTATATATTTGTGGTTAACAATAAAACGTTTTACTTACCATCATTATTAAACTGAAGATTCAAATACATGTCATAGGGATAGTTTGTTGGATTTTAACCACTGTTTAATAGTCACATTTTCAATGTAAATATGTCAGATAAATGATACCGATATATTATTAAGCATTCAAAATATGGAGTGATGTGTAGCCTGCTTTTTAACTTTGTTGTAAAATGTTTTTACTAATACTTACAAGGAGAACTTATAAAGTGTACTTTCAAATAGCCAACCATGACAAAAGTGAGACAATGATAATGATAGAGAATAAAATGTTAATAGACACAGACTTAGATTTAAAGCAAGAACAAACCATACAGGTTATCTGAACAATAATGAATTCACAAAGCAGGTAAACATTTTATCAAAATGTTGCTGGAGAGCTCAAGAGTGTCTCCAGATGCCAGTGAGACACCACCCCCAGCCAGTATCCAGAGAAAGAATTCAGAGATGAGTCAGAATGAAGCAAAAGGCAACAAGCTTTTATTGCCAAGCAAAAGTACACATTGAGTACAAAACCCATTCACACTCAAGAGCAGAGTGTGGGCATACTTGGAGGCGTGAGTAGTGCATAATGGAGTTTGGGTTTCTAATTTTATGGGCTCTTCTAACCAGGGGATAGAGTAACCATGAGGTTTTCTAGGAAAAAAAGTGAAGTTTTATTAGAATTGAGGTGTCACCCATTTTTAAACAAAATATGGCCATGCTGAGATCTGTCATGGCACTGGTGAGTTTCTGATTTAGTGTGTAATTAGGTCTGAGGTAGGGCATGGGTCATATCAAGGGCCATAATGGACCTAGCTTGTCTCAATCAGCTCAGCTCCTGTCCTTTCTGTTAGAGTCTTGTCAATCAGTCTCTTCCTTGTCCTCGTAGCTAATTTTAACAGCTCGTTTCTTATTGTTTTCTGAAATTACAGCTTGATATTTTCCTGCCTCCCCTGTGACCACCAAGCATTCCTATTTTAGAGTATTTCTTTAATTTGGGGGTATAATAATCATTAGTTATTCTGGAAAAGCAGGGGATTTCATGACCCCCATTCCTGACCACTTTCTTCCTTGTTTTGATTTTTCTGGAACAGTCATGGAGATGTCCCCCTGACCACAATTTTGGCCATTTTCTCTTGCATATTTTGGGTTTTCTGTTATCTTGTAGTTTCTTTGCTTACTTCTCATTTTAGCTGTTGTTTGTGTTTTTCCATCCTCCTGTGACTACTCAGTGCTATTCCTGTCTCAAAAGGTAATTCTGGTGTCCTTCTCATCCCTCATTGGACTGATAAGCCAATTAGTATTTGTATTTTCAATTAACTTATTTAAAACATCCGGTATCTACCTTTGTGTATGGTTTTTGTTAAATATACATATTTCCTTGTTTTATTTTTCTGCATAAAGGCATACTGTTTTCTAAGAACATGCACCAGTTTATAATTTGTTAATATGTAATGCTAAATTTATAAAACCTCAATTACATATATGACATATATAATCTATTTCAGAATTCTCCATTTTGCTTACATTCATCTATTTGTGTATTTTTGAGCTAGTAAGAATAATCGTAAGTATTACTATGATGGAATTGTATATTATTTTGCTATCAGGTAGTATAAATCCCCTGCATTTGCTATTTTTGTTCATATTTTATTTTACTATTTACAAACTTTTATTATTCCCTTTATGGCCGATTAATCAGAAAATTTCCTCCAATTATTTCCCTCCTTGAAACTACAGCCATTGTAAAATGACTTTGCGCCTTCTTAATTTAAGATTTTGGAGCTTATTTTTCTATTTCTTGACTCTAGGATTACTTTGTGACTTGCTTTGGCCACCAGAATGAAACAGATATAAAAATGTGCCAATTCAGAGCCTCAGAATCAGGCGGACTTGCACATTACAGCCTGCTTTTTTCTCCTTTTTTGAACGTGAAAACAAGGCTTTTTCTAGCGTCACAAATGATAAGAGAGCACATATAGCAGAGCCAAGATATTTTAGCTGATGGATGCCATCCCAGACAATTGCCAAAATCAGTCAAGCTCAGACTAGAAAGGGAGAAGCTCTCAGAAAACACAATAAATGTTTGCTTGTTTAGGTTACTAATGAATAGGGTAGTTTGTTGAGGTCCTCACAAAATTAAAAATTAATTTTAATTTATTAAATGTGTATATTAAGTTGAGGAAATTGACAATTTTATATTATGTTTTCCTATCCAGGAGCATGGGCTATCTGTTTTTCAGATCTTCTTTCATATTTCTTAAAAATGATTAATTCTTTATATAAATTTTGAACTGTTAGTGCTTTCTGTTTTGTATTTTTAGTGTAATGGTACTATGATTAGTAACTTTACAGGTATTCTTATTTTGTTCTTAGACTTAAAGGAAAAGTAAATGAAAGTTTCTCCATTAAGGGTATTTTGCTGCATATGTGTATATACATGTAAATATTTATTTATTTATCAAAACTTACCCTCCTTTAAGGCCATAACCCAGCTTTCTCATTACTGTATTTCCATTTTGAATTTTACTGATGAATTTTCTGCTTTAAACTATATTTGAATTTTTGCTATCAATTTATATTTTCATGATTTTTATCTTATTTATATTTTTATTCAACAAATGTTATATTCAAGATATTTTATCTTCACTAGCTAAATATTTTTATAATTTTGGTTCCAACATTTTCATAAACCATTATGGGAGTTAAATTTGTATTAGCGTCATAAAATACGTTAGGTAACCATTCTTACTTGTCTGTTTTGTATGGTGTAAGTAATGAAATCCTGTATACTTAGGCTCTTAGAGAGGAAAGATTTTTCTTTCTGTTATGCGCATTGATCCATTCAAATTTTCTGTGTCTGCATATGCAAACAGTGACATTTAAATTTTTTCTGAATGTAGGTAGATGGCCTATAATTGAGGATTACTTCTGTTTAGCAGTGAATAATATGAGTTTTATTTGTTAATTTATTTTACATTGTAGATATTTCACATTGTGTTATATTCCATAACATTGGTAACATTTGATTCTTTCAACTAAAAATATATTGGTTGTCAATTAAAAAAATACAAAATAGGAAGACTGGAAATTACCATAATATCTGTTGTATCACAACTAAAAAAAATAAAAATGAAGATTAGGTATCTGAGCAAAAATATATATATTTTTCCAATTTTAATCCCTAGAATTAAACTGGAATATCTATCTAGAAATAGGCAGCTATAGAAATTGGTATTCCTCCTCTCATCATTGTCTTTCCCTTAAATATCAAATAATGGAGAAAAAAAATTAAAATATGTATTATCTGCTGATAATCAACTTTCAAGAGAACGGAAATTGAGACTGAGAAACTAATGCCCAGTTCCACTTTCCAGTCATAATTATTTAATTTACTAACTCATAGAAGAAAGGGTTAGAGGAATAAGAGGCCAGGAAAGTTTAGCAAAATGTTTCTTTATGGAATCTTGTGAAATGGGAAAGAAGTACTTCACCAACATTACTGATTTTGATTACATAATCTTCACATCAGGAATAAAGCACTGTAAAATGAATGAGATATACTACTTGTCCAAGTCCATCTGGAGTATTATGTTCTGACTTCTGCAGTGATTATAAATTGCTTCTCCTACACTGTATGTGTATTTTTCTTTGTTGATGGAAGATATGAATGCTGGGAACAAAGAATTGCAATTATCCAATAGTAGCTTGTGGTTGTAGACAAACAGGTGCACAGGCACTCATGTTACTGTGATAGTATTTGAGGGTATTTCTTTAAAAATATTTGGCAGTATTTTAGAAGTTCACACATAAGTTATTTTCCCAATATTTTATTGAAGCAAATACACATAATATAAAATATACTAGTTAAGCATTTCTAAGTATATAGTTCTCTGGTTTTAAACACATTCATAGTGTGCAACCATATCACCATTTTTCTCCATAACCCTTTCCTCTAATAAAACTGAAATTCTATAGCCATTTAGCAATAACTCACCATTTTCCTCTCCTCCCCAGTTCCTGGTATCAATCCATCTATTTTCTGCCTGTATGGTTTTGATAATTCTAAATAACTCATATAAGTGGAATCATACACTGTTTGTCTTTTTATGTCTGACTTATTTCACTCAGAATAATGTCCTCATGATTCATCCATGTTATAGTGTATGTCAGAATCTGTTCCTTCTTAAGGGTGAATAATATTCCATTATATGTATATATCACATTTTATTCATCTATTCCACTCTCACCATCAACACCTTGGGTTGCTTCCATTGTTTAGCTATTGTGAGTAATGCTGCCATGAACGTGGGTACGCAAATATGTTTTGAAGACCCTGCTTTCATTTCTTTTGGATACATGCCCAGAAGAGGAATTGCTGGATTACGTGATAATTCTATCTTTGGTTTTTTGAGGAACCACCCAACTGTTTTTACAGTGGATGCACTATTTATATAACCACCAACAGTGCACACATGTTTCAATGTCTCCACATTTTTTACAGCACATTTTCTGTTTCTGTTTTTGTTTTAAATAGTAGCCATCCTAATGAGTGTAAAGTGTCATCTTGTAGTTTTGAGTTGCATTTACCCTATAATTGAGCATCTTTTCAGGTGCCTGTTGCCACATGTGAGTCTTCTTTGGAAATGTGTATTCAAGTCCTTTGCCCATTTTTATTTTTATTTTATTTTATTTTATTTTTTGAGACAAGGTCTCGTTCTGTCACCCCGGCTGGAAAGCACAGTGGCGTGATCTCAGCTCACTGCTACCTCTGGCTCCTGGGTCCAAGCTATTCTAGGGCCTCAGCCTCCTGAGTAGCTGGTATTACAGCTGTGCGCCACCACACCTGGCTAATTTTTGTATTTTTGTATTTATCTATTTAATTATTTTTAGTAGAGACAGGGTTTCACCGTGTTGGCCAGGCTGGTCTTGAACTCCTGACCTCAAGTGATCCACCCACCTCGGCCTCCAAAGTTCTCAAATTACAGACATGAGCCACAGCGCCTGGCCCCTCCTTTGCCCATTTGTGAATCAGATTGTTTGTATTTTTATTGTTGAGTTTTAGGTCCTCTATACATGAATATTAACTTCATCAAATATATGAACAGTGAATATTTCCTTTTCTTCTGTATGTTGCTTTTTTACTTTGTTCATACTGCATTTTATGCACTTTTTTTTTAGTTTTCACGACGTCCAATTTTTAATTTTTTTTTTTTTTACTTTGTTGCCTGTTTCTTTGGTGTCTTATCCAAGACATCATTGATAAATTCAATGTAATGAATTTTGTCCTATGTTTTCTTTAAGAGTTTTATTGTTTTAGGTCTCACATTTAGGTCTTTCATCAACTTTGAGTCAATATCTGTGTATGGTGTTAGGTAAGGTTTCAACTTTATTATTTTGCATGTGGGTATCTAATTTTTTCAGTACCATTTGCTGAAAAAAAACAGTACTTTCCACATTGAATAATCTTAACATCATTGACAAATATAATTTGGGCTTATATGCAAGAGTTTATTTCTTTTATATTGGTCTATATTTCTGTCTTTATGCCAGTACCACACTGTTAATTGCTAAATTTGTAGTAGTTTTTGAAATCAAGAAGCATATGTCCTCAAGTTTTGTTCTTTTTGTTCAATATTATTTTGAATAATTTGTGTTCTGTTGAGATTCTGTAGACGTTTTTGGGTGGGTTTTTTTTATGTCTAAAAAAGGGATTTTGATAGGGATTGCATTGAATCTGTAGATTGCTTTGGGTAACAGTGATATCTTAACAATATGAAGTCTTTCAATCTGTGAGGAAGAGATATTCTGATTTACTTGTTTAATTTCTTTCAGTAAAGTTTTAGTTTTCACTGTATAGATCTTTTACCTCCTTGGATAAGTTAATTTCTAAATATTTTATTCTTCTCAATGCAATTACAAATATAATTGTTTTTACATTTTATTTTCAGATTGTTTATTGTTAGTGTGTAGAAATGCAACTGATTTTTATGTGTTGATTTGAATTCTGCTATTTTGCTGGATTTTTTTATTAGCTCTATTTTTTTATGTGTGGAACCTTTTTTTACTAGCTCTTTTTTATGTGTAAAGCCTTTAGTATTTTCTACAATTAAGAGTATATCATCTGTGAACAGAGATAATTTTGCTTTTTTCCTTTTCAATTCAAATGCCATTTCTTCTCTTTTCTTTTTCTGGTTAATTCCTTTGACTATAACTTTTGGTAATATGTTGAATAGAAGTGATGAAAGCAGGCAGACTTATTTTGATCCTGATGTTAGAGAAAAGGCATTTATTTTTTCACCATTGCCTAATACAGTGTTAACTGTGGGATCTTCATATATGAATTTGATTATGATAAGGTAGTTTTATAATATTTCTAATTTTCTGAGTGCTTTTTATTGTGAAAAATTATTGCATTTTGTTAAATGCTTTTTCTGCATCAATTGGAATGATCATGTGCTTTTTTTTCTTTTATCTCAATGTGGTTCATTATATTGATTTTAGTTATTTTTATTTTTATTTCAATAGTTTTGGGGAACAGCTGGTGTTTGGTTGCATGGAAAAGTTCTTTAGTGGTAATTTCTGAGATTTTGGTTCACCCATCACTCAAGCAGTATACGCTGTACCCAATGTGTAAAATTTTATCCCTCACTCTCTCTCACTCTTTCCCCCAAGTCCCCAAAGTCCGTTGTATCATTTGTATGCGTTTGCATCCTTACAGCCTAGCTGCTGCTTATATGTGAAAACATATGATGTTTGATTTTCCATTTTTGAGTTACTTCAGTTAGGTTGCTGCAAATGGTATTATTTCATTCCTTTTTATGGCTAAGTACTATTCATATATATATATATCACATTTTTTATCCATTCATTGGTTGATGAGCATTTAGGCTGGTTTCATATTTTTGCAATTGTGAATTGTGCTACTATAAACATGCATGTACAAGTGTCTTTATCATATAATGACTTATTTTCCTCCGGGTAGATACCCAGTAGTGGGATTGCTGAATCAAATGGTAGTTCTACTTTTAGTTCTTTCAGGTATCTCCATACTGTTTTCCATAGTGGTTGTACTAGTTCACATTTTCACATTCCCACCAGCAGTGTAAAGTGTTCCGTTCCATTTTCACCACATCCATGCCAAAATCTATTATTTGTTGATATTTTAAAGTATGGCCATTCTTGCAGGAGTAACGTAGTATCTCAGTGTGGTTTTGATTTGCATCAAAAAGTGGGCAAAGGACATGAACAGACAATTCTCAAAAGAAGACATTCAAATGGCCAAAAAACTTATGAAAAAAAATGCTCAGCATCACTAATTATCAAGGAAATAATTGATTTTAATATGTTGAATCACCCTTGCATTCCAGGAAAAATATCCCACCTGGTCTTGTTGTATCATCTTTTTAATATGCTGCTGAACTTAGTTTATTATTATTTTGTTGAGGATTTTTTTCATCAATGTTTATGAAAAAAATATTAGTCTGTAGTTTTCATGTAGTATCTTTTTCCAGCTTTGGTATCAAGGTAATGCTGGCCTCAAAGAATAAACTAGGAAGTGTTCCCTCCTATTCAAGTGTTTGAAAAAGTTTGAGAAAGATTTGTTAGGTATTCTTTAAATGTGTGGTAGAATTCACCTGTAAGGCTATGAGGCCTAGAGCTTTTCTTTGTTGGGAGGTTTTTAATTACTGACTCAATCTCCTTATTAGGTACAGGCCTATTCACATTTTCTATTTCATTATGATTAATTTCAATAGCTTTTGTATTTCTTGGAATTTGTCTATTCATCTTGCTTATTGAACTTGGTACATAGATGTTTGTAGTACTCCTTTATGGTCTTTTTTTATTTCTATAGAATCAGTAGTAATGTCCCGGTTTTCATTTTTTATTATAGTAATTTAGTCTTTTCTCTATATGTTTTTTTTCTTTAGTCTATCTGAATAAGGTTTTCCAGTTTTGTCAATCTTTGCAAAAGCAAAACAAAGTAAAACAGCTTTTAGTTTCACTGATTTTCTCTATTGTTTTTCTTTTCTCTTATTTTTTTTATCTGTTCTAATATTTATCTCCTTCGTTCTGTTTTGGGTTTAAGCTGTTCTTTTTCTAATTTCTTAAGTTGTAAAGGTAACTTGTTGATTTTAGATTTTTTTAATGTAAGCATTTATAGCTATAAATTTCCCCCTGAGCACTGCTTTTTATGTGTCCCATAAGTTTTGGTGGCTTGTATTTTCATTTGTCTTCATCTCTCATTTCCCTTGTGATGTCTTCTTTAATCAATTGGTAGTTAAAGAGTGTGCTGTTTAATTTTCACAGTTTTTTAAATTTTCCAGTTTTACTTCTGTTACAGATTTCTAATTTCATCCATTGTGATTGGAGAACATACTTTGTGTGATATCTGTTTTTTAAAAAAATCTATCAAGACTTAATTTGAGGCCTGGCATAAGATCTATCCTGGAAAATGTCCACTGCACTTGAGAAAAATATGTATGCTGTTGTTAGGTAGAGCATTTTATATATGTGTATATATATATATTTTATATATGTGTATATATATATGTATATATATGTGTATACATAGTATATATACACATATAATGTGTATATATAAATGTGTATACACATTTTATATATGTGTATATATATATATATATATTGCTGTTTTATGTCTAAAGTTCTCTATTTGCTTTCTTATATTCTATTCAGTTATTCTATTCAGTATTGAGCGTGAGATACTGAAATTTCCAACTGTTATTGTAGGCCTGTGTATTTCACCCTCAATTTGTCAGTTTTGCTTTATACATTTTGATGGTCTGTTAAATTATTTTGGCCTCATGTAGTGATGCCATCATGTAATGATGGTGTAAATGTTTGTGACTTTTATATTTATTTCTTTATGTATGGAACCTTTTATTATTATACAATATATTTCTTTGTCTCCTGTAATCTTTTTGATTTAATGTCTATTTTATCTGGTTATTGTGCCTAACATGGAAGTATAGTAGCTGGAACTGTGTTGAGCTAAATTTGACTGAAATTAGCCTGAGTTTATGATGCAAGTCTGGAAATGGAAAGCCTCAAAAGACTCCAGAGTTTCAAAAACATTACAGCAGAGTCTGACTACAAGTTTTCCTGGTTGGAAGGACAGATTCTTGGTGCGTTGTACTCCGTCATCTTCTGGGAATTATCCCATATATCTTTTAGTTTGAGTAAATAAACTTATTCATCTAATACACTTGACCACAAATATTACCTACACATATACACACATGAACAAAGTTTCTATTTGTAGTAACAGTATAAGTCTGGAGCGAAGTCTAAAGATTCATAATCAAGTCACTTGTTACAGAGCTTGTGTTGCAGCTAAAATAAAATAGCAAGTAATACTGAGTAGACACTAAAATTAGGTAGTACAATTGTTCATGATAATATGAAAAGAGCTCTTACACATATTACTAAATTTAAAAAAAAAAACTAAAAATGTAGGCTGGGCGTGGTGGCTCATGCCTGTAATCCTACCACTTTGGCAGGCTGAGGCAGGCGTATCACCTGAGGTCAGGAGTTTGAGACCAGCCTGGCCAACATGGCAAAGCCCTATCTCTATTAAAAATACAAAAACATTAGCCGGGCATGGTGGCAGGCTCTGTAATCCCAGCTATCCCAGCTACTAGGGAGGCTGAGGCAGGAGAATCTCTTGAACCCAGGAGGCAGAGGTTGCAGTGAGCTGAGATTGCGTCACTGCACTCCAGCCTGAGTGACAGAGTGAAACTCCGCCTCAAAAAAAAAAAAGAAAAAAAAATTTAAAAAGGTAAGTAACTCAGAAAGATAATGTATCAGATGTTCCCAAATGGAGTAAATGGAGTTAGACATTTTTCCTTTTGATATTTACTATGTATCATTATATATCATTCATTTTCATGGCCATATTAAAATATAATGTACTTACTATGTTTTTCACTCATTTACACAATTCAGTGTTTTTTGTTATATTCAAGGAGTTGAGCCACCATCACCATGAGCTTAGGAATATTTTCATCATGGCAAAAAAAAAAAAAAATCCAGTACACATTATCACTAACCCTATGTCATCCCCCTTCCTCACCTTAGCAACTTTCTGTCACTATAGATATGCCTATTTTAGTCATTACATATAAACAGAATGAGACAATTATGAATTTTGAGGACTGGTTTCTTTTATTTACCATAATGTTTACAAGGCACATCAATGTTGTGGTATATATCATTTCATCATTACTTATCATTTTAAACACTAATCCATACAATAGACATTATACCTATTATTTATCTATGCATCAACTAATGCATATTTCCACTTTTTGGTTATTATAAATATACTTATAAACAGTCATGTATGAATTTTTGTGTAGACATACATTTCAACTTCTCTAGAAATTTAACTAGAAGTGAATTGCTTAGTCACGTGGTAACTCTAACTTCTCTGAAGAAATATCTATTTCCATCTTTTGCCCCTTTATTAATGGATCATTTTTTTTTATTGAGTTGAATCTTCTAAATATTCTAGATTTAATTCCCCCTAGCTAAATACAATTTCAAATATTGGTTGTTCTTTTTCATTTTCTTCGTTGCATCCTTTGAAGTAAAATTTTTTAATTTTGATGAGTTTCAATTTATCAAATTGTTATTGTTTTTGTTGGTCATGCTCTTGATGTCATTTGGAAGAAAGCTTTGCGTTAACCAAAGTCATGCAGATTTACTCCCATATTTATGACTCATAATTTTATAAGGTTAGCTTTTACAGTTGTGTGTATAATTTACTTTGAGTTTTTTTGTGTGTAAGGTGTGACAAAAAGGTCCAACTTCATTTTTAGGCAGGTGAATATCCTGTTATCTGAACAAAATTTGTGGAAAAGATCAATATTTATCTTCTTAAATTGAGCTGGTACACTTGTCAAAATGAATTGATTATAAATTTAAGGTTTATTTCTTTTTTTAAAAAATTTAACTTTATTTTAGATAAAAGAGGTACATGTGCATGTTTCTTACATATGTATATTGCACCCAGGTAGTGAGCATAATACCTAATATGTAGTTTTCCAACCCATATCCTTTTCTCCTTCTCTGCTCTAGTAGTTTGCAGTGTATGTTATTCCTATGTTTATGTCCATGTGTGTTCAATGTTTAGCTTCCACTTATAAGTGAGGACATGCAAGATATAGTTTTCTGTTCCTGTTTTAATTCGTTTAGTATAATATTATGGCATCCAGCTCCATCTATATTGCTGCAAAGGACATGATTTCATTTTTTTCTTATGGTTGTGTAGTATTCCATGGGATATATGTACCACATTTTCTTTATCCAAGCCACCATTGATGGGCACCTAGGTTGATTTCATATCTTTGCCATTGTGAATAGTGTGGTGATGAATGTACAACTGCATGTGCCTTTTTGGTGTAATGATCTATTTTCCTTATACCCAGTAATGAGATTGCTGGGTCAAATGGCAATTCTGTTTTAAATTCTTTGAGAAATTTCCAAACTGCTTTCCACAGTGGCTGAACTAATTTATATTCCCATCAACAGTGTATAGGTATACACTGTTTCTCTGCAGCCTTGCCAGCATCTGTTCTTTACTGACTTTTGAAAAATAGCCATATTAACTTGGGTGAGGTGGTATCTCATTGAGGTTTTGATTTGCATTTATCTGATGCTTAGTGGTCATGAACATTTAAAAAATATGTTTGTTGGTAACTTGTATGTTTTCTTTTGAGAAGGGCTTGTACATGTACTTTGCCCTTGTTTTAATGGGATTATTTACTTTTTGAATGTTGATTTGTTTACATTCCGTATATATTGTTTACATTAGGTTGCATACTTTTTGAATATTTTCTCCCATTCTGTAGGTTTGCTCTTTGCTCTGTTTATAGTTTCTTTCCCTGTGCTGAATTGCTTTTGTTTAATTAGGTCCCTCTTGTCAACATTTGTTTTTGTTGCAATTGCTTTTGGCGACTCAGCCAAAATTTCTTCGCTAAGTCTGGTGACTAGAATGGTGTTTCCTAGGATTTCTTCAAGGATTTTTATACTTTGAGGTTTTACATTTAATGTTTGATTCATTTTGAGTTAGCCTTTGTATATAGTGAAAAATTAAGGTCCATTTTTATTCTTCTGCATACAGCTAGTCAGTTATCCCAGAGCTATTTGTTGAATAGATAATCTGTTCCCTATTGCTTGTTTTTGTCAGCCCTGTTGAAAATCATAAGTTTGTAGGTATGCAGCTTTATTTCTGGACTCTGTATTTGGTTCCATTGGTCTATGTGCCTGTTTTTATACCAGTACCATGCTGCTTTGTTTACAGCCTCATAGTACAGTTTGAAGTTGGGTAACATGATTCCTCTAGCTTTGTTCTTTTTGCTTAGGATTGCTTTGGCTATTTGGCTCTTTTTGGTTCCATGTGAGTTTTAGAATAGATTTTTTATAACTGTGTAAAAATTGTGTTAGTTGATTGATAGGAATAGTGTTGACTCTGTAGACTGCTTAGGCAGTATCGCTATTTTAATAATATTGATTATTCCATTCCATGAGCATGGGATGTTTTCCCATTTATTTATGTTATATTTGAGTTCTTTTGGCAGTGTTTTGTGTAATCCTTGTAGAAATTTTTCATTTCTTTGGTTACCTGTATTCCTAGGTATCTCATTTTATTTGTGGCTATTATTAATGGAATTATGGGAATTATGTTCTTGACTTTACTCTCAGCTTTGCTGGTATTAGTATATAGATATGCTCCTGATTTTTTTACATTGATT
Source organism: Homo sapiens (assembly GCF_000001405.40). Lineage (NCBI taxonomy): Eukaryota > Metazoa > Chordata > Mammalia > Primates > Hominidae > Homo > Homo sapiens. Next base: position 116,110,028 of record NC_000004.12, on the reverse strand, counting down.
TTTGTATTCTAAAACTTTACTGAAATTGTTTATCAGTTCTAGGAATTACATGGTGGAATCTTTAGGATTTTCAATGTATAGAATCATATTCTCAGAAGAGAGAGATAGCTTGGCTTTTTCTTTTCCATTTAGATGTCTTTACTTCTTTCTCTTGCCTGATTGCTTTGGCTAGGAGCTCCAGTACTGTGTTGAATAGGAGTGATGAGAGTGGGCATTTTTGTCATGTTCTAGTTCTCAAGGGGAATGCTTCCAGCTTTTGCCCATTTATGGCTATGAAATTTTTATGAGTGGCTTTTATTATTCTGACATATATTCCTTCAATACATAGTTTCTTGAGAGTTTTTTTTATCATGAGTTGATGTTAGACTTTATAGAAAACTTTTTCCCTGCATCTATTGAGTTGATCATGGTTTTGCTTTTAATTCTGTTTATGCGATGTATCACATTTTTGATTAGCATATGTTGAATCAGTCTTGCATCACAAGAATAAAGCTTACTTGATTGTGGTGTATTAACTTTTTGATGTACTGCTGAATACAGTTCGCTAGTATTTGGTTGAGGATTTTTTTATTTGTCTTCATCAGAGATATTGACCTGAAGTTTTCTTTTTTCCTGGGAATTTTGAGTGACATAACTTACTAATACTCTGGTATTACAAATTTAGTAAATGTTAATGTAAATTAAATATACCTGACAAAAGTATACTATAATTATATATTTCAATAGCCATTCCAGCTGCTTTACTTATAAGACACAAAAACCTAACCAGTATTCATTTTAAATTTAAAAAATAATTCATTTATATAGTCCTGCAAAAATATGGGCTTTACATCATGCATTGTATAATTCTTTATGTTTGCTTTAGAATTCAGGAATATGTGTGTAGGACATCGGTCAGGGTGGTGGGAAAAGTTATATGAAAAAGTTATAGGGAAAGATGCAAACCTTCTTGGAAGGCCAGGAGGCTTTGCAAAAGCTTTGGAAGAGAATTATAGCTGAAGGCAGCCAAATTCTCTTATGTGGAGGCTGAAAGCAAAGGGCAGATAACAAAGGAATGTAAAGGAATTATATAGATAAATTTGTTTACTCCTGTCTCCAGAAACCAACCTTTGATCATTCGTGTGCAGGACTGCTCTCTACTTGAGGGGTCAACAATGTTTATTACCCACAAATTGTGTTCACTCCAAGCCTTTGTCATTAAGTCTGTACTAAATAAATGTGAGCGGGGCCAGCTTATGGGGGCAGCACTTTTGTCCGCGGTGCTAAGCCGTGTGGTCCCCTAGCCACACTGTCAGACAAAATACCTTTGTGTACCTGTGTCAGTGTACTTCTTTTATCTGTCACTCGGCCAGAGTCTGCAGGACAGACTCGGCAATGCAAAGCCACAAAGTGTTCTAACATATCTCAGTATCGTTTACATGGCTCTGACTGAGTATTCCATTTCCATAATTCACAGAACTTTGGTAAGTTACTCCACCTTTCTCTAGTCTATAGAATGTCACTTTTAGGCTAGATTCAATTTAATGTCTTTTATAAAAATGAAATATATCAATGGTAGAGTTATATCTATAAGAATGATTATTAATATTACAATTTTAGGAACAATTATTCAGAAAAATATGATTAAATATTGTGCTTAAAATTAATGCCAAGATTATGTATAAACTTGTTCTGCCAATAAAATATTTCTTTGTATACAGTATTTTAAATTGATTGAAATAGAAGACAAAAGGATGAAGTGCTAAAATACGTAAATGAAACATGCACTTGTATGTTAATTGCGGCACTATTCACAATAGCGAAGATGGAATCAACTCAGGTGCCTATTAATGGTAGATTGAAAGAAAATATGGTATACACACACCACAGAATACTATGCAGCCATAAAAAGAAATGAAACCATGTTCTTTGCAGCAACATTGATGGAGCTGGAGGCCATAATCCCAAGCAAATTTAATGCAAGAACAAAAAACGAAATACCACATCTTCTCACTTACAAATGTGAGCTAGTTTTTGAGCACACATGGATATAAATATGAGAACAATAGACACTGAGGACTACTAGAGAGTGGAAGAAGTAGGGGTTGGGTTAAAAAAACTACCTGTCGGGTATTATTCTCACTATCTGAGTAACAGGATCCCTACCCCAAACCTCAGCATCAGGCAATATTCCCTGATGTAACAAATCCGCATGTGTAATCCTGTATCTAGAATAAAAGTTGAAATTAAAACAAACAAAATAACATTTTAAAATCAGATTCAATAATTTATTAATTTTGTAACCCTGTGAGAGTTATAGAAATTCTTCTGCTGTCAGTCCTGTTATCCACAAATGGTCAATTGTTAATGCCCTTGGGGATTTACAGTCACTTAATATATAGCAGCTATAATAACAATGCTAATAGTACTACTGATACAAAAAATAACTTTTATATTTATTGTATTTTGTTTGCTACTATTATGAACAACATAGTCATTGTAGCTTAGCAAAGGACATGAAAGAAGAATAGCGCGCGCACACACACACACACACACACAACATCTGTTCATGTCAATTTTTCCGAACTGGGGTTATCTAGAAAAGCTGGTTTCTTTAAATGTGACCATAGAGTTTCTCAGCTGACCCTCTGAAGTGTTAGCCTTCGCTGATGGGCTACATTATCCCAGAACTAGACCTTGAGTCTGGCAAAGGATCTTGAAAGTGATAGTTAATATGCACTGTAAAATATTATCAACTAGATCAACTGACCCCAAAGTGAGATTTGAAATTCTACACTATCCATCTTATGCCACCCAATTAGGCAAATTATCAAATAATTTTGACATTTTCACTTTATATTTTACTTATAAATATGTTAACAGAATTCTATGCATTATTTGATTTTATTCTTGGGGAAATTTTAGAGCTTTACGTGAATGAGTGACTTTCTAGTTTAGTTACCTTTATCTAAAATTTTAGGTGAAAATTTTGCATTGTAAACATTCTTTAAAACCAGTGTGGTTTCCTCTCTTCTCCAAAACCTCTGAGTATGCACGCTGAATAACGGAGGCAGATTAAAATTTTAGGTGATAGGATATATTAAATATTATCACTGTCCTCAGTGAGATGAGCATATAGTAAAACAATTTATATCCATATTAAGAAAAAATGCAAAAAGATGCTCTCTAAATTTTTAATATAATACAAATTAGAAGTGTTTTAAATAAAATATTTTATGGTTATGTACAATATTCACAATAAGAACATTATTATGCATGGCAATTTACTGTGATAACACTATCAAATTACAAAAATATTCCCTAATTTTTCATTGCTCTCTTAAAAGTACATCTACCTTTTTTTTAATCTGAAAAGTGAATATAACAGGAAACATTCACATTGTCTTAATTCATCTATGTTTAATTTTGCAGAAAAAAACAAATATTTTGAGGATTTAAAATCTGCTGTATATTAGACATCTTTTAGAAATGATTTCTGATGTAAATTAACACAATATACAACATAAATCTTTTTTCAGTTTGCAATGCTAGTAGTTGTTACAAATTTCTCATTTAAATATGATACTTTTGTTTCCTGTGTAAGTTTATGTAATGTATAAGTTGGATTACAGATTTTTCTTTGTTTATGACTTTATTAATATTTGCCTTGTTTTTATACTGGGATATTAGACTATACATACAATTTTTAAAATTAAACAAACTAATTTTTAAATTTTCAGTAACATTAACTAAGGGCTTCACAGATAAAACACAATCATCCAAAGTCAATGTCCTTTTAGTGTATCTTTGTAATAATGTTAACAATAATGAAAAAAATAGTCCCTACATATTTTTAAATATGATTAGTTTTATTTCATTGCCTTTTCACTTTGCTTCTTGATTTTTAGTATTCTAAACAATAGTCTCATGATTAGTTTTAAAAACAGTAAAACGTTTGGTTTTATGCAACAGTTATAATGTAATTTTCATAACTACTAGGGTAAAATATTGACTATGTAACCAAGTGTTTTATCAAATACATATGACTCCCAAAAGCTATAATTTAATTGAAAAACTGTTACTGTTAGGTACTTCATAAAATCAATAATTGCTTGATATGGTGGTGGAGTTAGACTCTGTACGACTATAATATAATCATATAATATGAGAACTTTAAAGTACATAAATATTCAGTTTATCCTTTAACATTGCTTAAAGCTTACTACTATGTTTAACCTGGGGACTTTCCTTAAATATCATTCAATAATAGCTTGTTCATATTAGGCAGCTATGTAATTTTTTTAGACCACCCTATCAGAAAGTGTCTAATCATGTTAAAATCAAAGACCTTGCTGAGGCTATTGACCAGCCAAAGGGCATCAATAGAAAACCTTATTGTACTTTTCAAGAACAACTTTCTGGATATTGTGGGGTAAATATTACGCCTTTTAAATCTTTTTTCCCCTTAGGGCAAAACATACTATTTAAGACTCTATTATCATTAGCCGTATGACACATATCAATTCTCTTTATATTCTCATTGCTCTTGTAGATTAATTAATTCAACAAATATTTACTGAGAACCTACTACTATCTACCAAACTGCGGCAATACAATGTGCATTCCAGAAAAATGGTTTCTGCCAATTGAAGAACTTATATTTTGATGAAATATCACTGTGGCACTAGGTTTTGAGCTTTATGTAAGAGACAAAGCTCATGGGCATGACATCTATATCTTCATCTTCCTGAAAACTATATTGACTAGGACAGGAATAAGGAAAGAATCTTGTAAAAAAAAAAAAAAAAGAAATAAAAGCACTGGAGATTTCCCTTTATGGTGATATAAATCCATTAATTTCAGTTTCAAGTCCAGCTAATTCACTGAATAATTGATCTACATCTTCATTTTGTTTTCACTACAAGAGGGATGAGGCATTGTCAAATATGCTGTGCATACACCGTGAGTAAAGAAAAGTAAAATAATGTAATCAACCATCAATAGATTTTTGAAATTTTAAGAAATATCTAATTCCAGAATGAGGCTAAGAGACAACATGCACATTTATTCTGTAGCAAATAGTTTGAAGAAATTTGTTTTTAGCCTTTAGTAAAAGTGTAAATAAAATAAAATAAAATAAAAATCTAAATAAAATGTCAGCAAGAGTTATATTAAATAAAGATATCCTGAATAGCACAAATACGGTAACTTAGGAAAAATCGAATTCAATATATATAAAATTGTGTGCTAGCTTTGAATTGTCATTTTATCTGAAGATAATGAGGGTTCATAAATTAGGCCCATGTAACATAAAAATATGCTCAGTTGCCTGAGTGAATTTCTGTGTTTCTGCTATCAACCAAATATTGTAGTATGATCCTTTCTTTCCCCATGACTATTAGTACATAGAAGAGGGTGAATTAATAAGTTAATATTCATTTATTTTAAAATCATCACTTTAAGCTTGTTAAAAATAACTTAATAAATCACATCCCTTCCAATATCTTGAATGCCACTTGGGGTGAAAAATAATTATTCTGTGTCATTGAAGAGGTGATGCTCAATGAAACTGTTAAAATAAAATGGCTACTTCAACCAATTTTTATCATGTACTAGGGACCTTCAATGGTCAGTTAGTCATCAACAAGATGAATGATTTTAATAAAAATATAGTCTTCCATCAAATTCTAGTCAGTGAATTATAGATTAATATCATGTGTTGTGATTTTATGACCTATATTACTTAATTTACCTCAAGTTGCTCACTTTGCTTACAGAAAATGCATCAGATTAATGTTTGTGAAAAAATCAATTGGGGACTTTTCAACAAATAAACTTGAATAAAACACAAAAATACCACTGTGCTACACACTAGGAGGTACATGCAAATTTCCAAAATACTAGAATACCATTCATAGTAGAATATATCATGTTAATAAAAAGTGCTAAGAAATGCATCTTAAAGCAATACCACAGAAAATAATTTGAATTTCCAAAATGCTGTTTAAATGACATATAAATCAAATAATTCACTTCCTATTCTTGAGATAAATATGTTTACCCAAGCATCTGAAACTAATTTAAATTAATATAAAGAATAAAGTTGAATACTCAACAGAATTGTATAGTTATGAGTGTATTGATTATTTTCCAAATATGTCTGTCTCTAAGTGTATCATATTTTATCTCAGTGTTAAGGAGATAATATGTCGAGGCATTTATAATAAGTAATTAAGTATTAAAACACTATAATATCACTAGATCCTTTTTTTGCTAGATATCATATTTAGAAAAGAGAAACTAAAACAAGCACTATTTAAAGCTAAAGGAAGGGAAAAATAAAACTCTCATTATTTGCAGATAGCATTACATTCTCTCCTGCTTTGATTAGCATTTGCTGTTTCTGAGTCGAGTTCTGCCACCTTTAGGCAGGGTCAGCTGGCATCCCCAGGGCAGTATCTTTCTCCTCTCTCTTGGTTGTGACTAGTACTTCTCAAATTGAATATCCAGTTTGTTTGTTTTTATTTCCTTTCTTCATGTATTCTTTTTCTACTACTTTCTTTCTTTATGTAGATTCAAGTTTCTGACTTGTATCACTTTTCTTCTCTCTGAAGAGTCTTTAACATTGTATGAAAGAAAGTTCTGCTATTGACAAATTGCCTCAGTTTTTGTTCATCTGTCTTCTTCACTTTTGCTGGATTCAAAGTTGGGCTGGGCGTGGTGGCTCATGCCTGTAATCCCAGCACTTTGGGAGGCTGAGGCGGGAGGATCACGAGATCAAGCTATCAGGAACACCCTGGCCAACATGGTGAAACCCCATCTCTACTAAAAATACAAAAATTAGCTGGGCATGGTGGCTTGCGACTGTAGTCCCAGCTACTCGGGAGGCTGAAGCAGGAGAATCACTTGAACCTGGGAGGCAGAGGTTGCAGTGAGCCGAGATTGTGCCATTGCACTCCAGCCTGGTTACAGGGCAAGACTGTCTCAAAAAAAAAAAAAAAAGAAAAAAGAATTCAAAGTTGGTATGTTTTGTCGGTTTAAGCTTTTAAATATTTTGCTCAGCACTTTTATTGCTTGCATAGTTTGTGAAAAGAAATTTGATTTTGAAAAGAAATTTGATGTAATTTTTATCCTTGCTCAACTTCAGGTAAGGCCTTAAAAAAATCCCCTCTGGCTTTTTACAAGATTCTCTTTTTGATATTGGTTTTCTGCAGTTTGAAAATGGTATCCTTCGGTTTAATTTTATTATTGTTGTTATTGCCATTGTTTACCCTGCTTGGTGTTATCTCAACTCTTGGACTTGTGTCTTGTTTTCTATCACTAATTTTGGAAATATTTTTAATTATTACTTTTAATAATTCTGTGTCTTTTCTTTTTTTTTCCCTCTGGTATTCTTTTTTTTTTTGAGATGGAGTTTCACACTTGTTGCCAAGGCTGGAGTGCAATGGCACGATCTCGGCTCACCACAACCTCCGCCTCCTGGGTTCTCAAGCGATTCTCCTGCCTCAGCCTCCCAAGTAGCTGGGATTACAGGCATGTGCCACCACATCCGGCTAATTTTTTTGTATTTTTAGTAGAGATGGGGTTTCACCATGTTAGCCAGGATGGTCTCGATCTCCTGACCTCGTGATCCACCTGCCTTGGCTTTCCAAAGTGCTGGGATTACAGGTGTGAGCCACCATGCCCAGCCTCCTCTGGTATTATTATTAAAGACATGTTATACCTTTTATAGTTGTCTCATAATTCTTGAATATTCTGCTCCATTTTTATTCTTTTTTTTTCCTCATTAATTTTGGCTAGGGAGTGTCTATTGACACATGTTCCAGCTCACTATTCTCCCCTCAGCCATGCTCAATCTATGGATAAACCTGACAAAAGCACTCCTCATTTTCTGCTACAGTGCTTTTGATTTCTAGCATTTCTTTTTTCTTTCTTTCTTAGAGATTCCATCTCCCTGCTTATATTATTCATGTGTGTGTATTTTTTTTCCTATTCTTGAATATTGTCCACTTTTACCATTAGAATCATTAGACAATGAATTATAGCTATTTTGAATTCTTGGTCTGATCATTCCAAAATCTCTGCCGTATTTGTGTTTCATTTTAAAGCTTGTTTTGCATTTTCAGATTGTGTTTCTTCTTATCTTTTCTCAGTCCCTGTAATTTTTTATTAAAAGCTGAGCATCGGTATTAGGTAATAGAAACTGAAGTACATAGGTCTTTAGTATGAGGTATTATGTATTAGGTTAGTGCAAAAGTAATTGTGGTGTTGCCATGACTTTTTAAAAATGGCCAAAGCCACAATTGCTTTTGCACCAACCTAATGTATCTGCCTAGGAGTTAGTCAGTGTTTACTGTTTTCTGCAGGCATTAAATGACTGAGGTTTCTATGTCCTCATGTAACTTTGTTTTTGTTTCTATTGTTGTGTTTGGATTTTCTAAAAACTCTTTCATAAATAGATTCTGTCCCCTGCAGCTGTTTCAGCTGTAGTCCACTGTTAATAAGGAGGAGTCCTGTTGACGTGGTGAAAAAGTGTGTTTATGGGATTGGGGTTGGGGGAGAAAGGGTTTATAGTTCCCTGCTTAGTTCTCAGTCTTAGTAATTCTGTGCCTCTGGGCTTTGACCTTTGCAAGCACTTCTCAGCATTTTTTTCTTATTTTTAATGTTTCTCAGATAATACAGAAAGGCTAGAGTGAGAATTGCTTGGGTAATTTTCAACTCCCAATCCAGTAATTTTATTGATGTATATTTCCTTGTTGAGTAATATTTTGTTGTGAGAATTCCCTGGGCTTTTTAAATAATAGCTGTTTTTCACCTGGTCGTAATTCAAAATAGTTAGTATTTCTACCCCCTGGATAAACATGAGGGGTTTTTTCTCTGATTTTACTGTGAGAAGGTAGTGGGTCTCCTGGATGCACAACTCATGAAAATGGGTGGCCCATTATAGGCCTGGTCCCCGGGAGTTTTTAGATCTCAAGTTTGTCCACACATATCTCCACTAACTTGATAAAATCATAATTTAAGGGTTTCCATCAAGAACTGGCTGCAGTGGTTTCTCACAGATCAGGCAAGTTGATGTGCATTCTCTGTATCTGCCTGTCTCTGCAGTTTTCAGTGATTTGTTCTGACTTCACTTCTCTGATGGACCGAAGAAAAGTTGAGCTTGAGTTTGTTCAGCATTTATCTTGTTGCAAGGACCTAATTCTTTTTTACCTTTGTTATTTTTATTCATAGTCAGTTCCTCCAAGGAGGTGTCACATAATGAAACAGAGGCAATGTTTTGCTTCTACAAACTAAATATATGGTTATGGTTAAATAAGGAACAGAAGAAACAAAGAAAACCAGTCAAACACTCTCCACATTTTATACAGAAAATTGTGTTCCACGTTCTCTTGCTACTTAACTTTATGTTTGCAGGACAGGAAAGTACAGGGTCAAACAGAGCTGCCCCAGAGAAACCCAATGCCATCTCCATTTAGCTGAAAAGAAGTGTTTATAATATTTCTTTCCGATTGTCGACCATTTTTCTCATCTTGGCAGATCTGGATCACATCTTCAACTTAAAAAGCTGGAAAATGTAGTTTTCAGAGCTCTATCTTCTTTACTATAGGTATACTTATTTTAAAAAGTGCTATTATTAGAGCTGAGAGAGCCATTTCAAAATATCAGCCACAAAAAAATTATTTTGAACTTTCCTTAATGTCTTAATGGTTCATGCTTATTTTTTCTAAAATAAAACCCTTATAGTCCTTTCTCTAATTGATTCTCCTTAAATAATATGTAATTTTACTAAATTAATTGTAGAGTTGTTATTTGTGCATTCATGCTTACAAATTTTATGCTAATTGTTCTTATGGAGTCATCGGAGTCATTCTTAGTTGATTATGTTTCCTTCCCAGATATAGCTGTAAAATTAAAAAACTGAAAGAAAAACATATCTATCATTAGGTGGATGAAACTCAGACAGAAAATTCAGGAGCTGTTTGGAGACATGTATTCTGCCATGTAAGAAAAGACATTCTGCCAAATGTAAGAGTAGAGTCCATACACAATGAGAAACAGGAAAGACAGGGTCCTTACAGCTTTAGAAATACATTCTAGTTGATCTTCAAATCTGTTGGTTTCAGGGTATTCTTATAATAACCAGGATGCTTGGCAAGATCCATTTCTAAAAGAAAAACAGTGTTTAGATAATAAATTTCATAACAGTTTCCTGGTCACTAGAGAGGCACCCAGTAGACTCATCACAGTGAGTCAACTTTGCTTAATCTGATTCAGGAAGAGTTCCCATCACATTAAACCAAAGTAACATGACCACTTTGTAAGCAAAAAGGTGCCAACTATCATAGTTACTCATAGCTATGTTAATTTAACTTAAAAATTGCTAAAATACTAGTTCTAACTCATTTTGAATTTCCAAAAAATATTCTTTAATATGATTAAGAAAAATATCTACTATAAATAAAGAGAATTATTTATCATAAATAAATGATGATCATTCCACTTAATGTAATGAGGTAGCCCAAATAAAATGTAATGAACATGTTTCAGCATATATACAAAAATTACCTTAAAATATTTATTAAGTAATTGTATTAGTCTGTTTTCATGTTGCTGACAAAGACATACCCGAGACTGGGAAGAAAAAGAGGTTTAATTGGACCTACAGTTCCACATGGCTGGGGAGGTCTCAGAATCATGGCAGGAGGCAAAAGACACTCCTTAAATGGCACCAATAAGAGAAAATGAGGAAGATTCCAAGGTATAAACCCCTGATAAAACCATCAGATCTCAAGAGACTTATTCACCACCATGAGAACAATATGGGTAAAACCACCCCCATGATTCAAATTATCTCCCACTGGGTCCCTCCAACAACACGTGGGAATTATGGGAGTACAATTCAAGATGAGATTTGGAGGGGACACAGAGCCAAACCATATAATTCTAACCCTGTCCCCTCCAAGTCTCACATCCTCACATTTCAAAACAAATCATGCCTTCCCAACAGTCCCCCAAAGTCTTAACTCATTTCAGCATTAACCCAAAAGGTCATAGTTCAAAGTCTCATCTGAGATAAGGCAAGTCCCTTCCGCCTATGAGTGTGTAAAATCAAAAGCAAGCTAATTACTTCCTAGATACTATGGGGTATTGGTATTAGGTAAATGCAGCTGTTCCAAATGAGAGAAATTGGCCACAACAAAGGGATTAACAGGGCCCATGCAAGTCTAAAATCCAGTGGGGCAGTCAAATTTTAAAGCTCCAAAATGATCCCCTTGATGCCATTTCTCACATCCAGGTCACGCTAATGCAAGAGGTGGGTTCCCATGGCCTTGGGCAAATGTGCCTCTGTGGCTTTGCGGGGTACAGCCTTCCCCCTGGCTATCACGGGTTGGCATTGAGTGTCTGTGGCTTTTCCAGGTGCATGATGCAAGCTGTAGATGAATCTACCATTCTGGTGTCTGGAGGACTGTGGCCCTCTTCTCACAGGTACACTAGGCAGTGCCCCAGTAAGGATTCTTTGTGGAGACTCCAACCCCAATTTCCCTTCTGCACTTCCCTAGCAGAGGTTGTCCATGAGAGCACTGCCCCTGCAGCAAACTTCTGCCTAGGCATCCCAGTGTTTCCACACATCTTCTGAAATTTAGGTGGAAGTTCCCACACCCCAGTTCTTGACTTCTGTGCACCTGCAGGCTCAACACAATGTGGAAGCTGCCAAGGCTTGGGGCTTGCACCCTCTAAAGCCATGGCCCTAGCTCTTTGTTGTCCCCTTTCAGCCACGGCACGAGTGGCTGAGATGCAGGGCACCAAATCCGTAGACTGCACACAGCATGGGGACCCTGAGCCCTACCCACAAAATCATTTTTTCCTCCTAGACCTCTGGGTCTGTGATGGGAGGGGCTGCTGCAAAGGACTCCAACATACCTTGGAGACATTTTCCTCATTGTTTTGGGGAGTAGCATTCAGCTCCTCGTTACTTATGCAAATTTCTGCAGCTGGCTTTAATTTCTTCTCAGAAAATGAGATTTCTTTTCTGTCACATTTTTGGGCTGCAAATTTTCTGAACTTTTATTCTCAGCTCCTTTTTTAAAACTGAATATCTTTAACAGCACCCAAGTCACCTCTTGAATGCTTTGCTGCTTAGAAATTTATTCTGCCAGATACCCTAAATCATCTCTCTCAAGTTCAAAGTTTCACAAATCTCTAAGGCAGGGGCAAAATGCCACCAATCTTTTTGCTAAAATATAGCAAGAGTCACCTTTGCTCCAGTTCCCAACAAGTTTTTCATCTCCATTTGATACCACCTCAGCCTGGATTTCATTGTCCATATCATTATCAGTATTTTTGTCAAAGCCATTCAACAAGTTTCTAGGAAGTTCCAAACTTTCACACAGTTTCCTTTCTTCTTCTGAGCCCTCCAAACTGTTCCAAACTCTTCTTGCTACCCAGTTCCAAAGTCGCTTCCACATTTTCAGGTATATTTTCAGCAACACCCCACTCCTGGTACCAACATACTGTATTAGTCCATTTGCACACTGCTGATAAAGACATACCCAAGACTGGGAAGAAAAAGAGTTTTAATTGGAGTTACAGTTCCACATGGCTGTGGATTCCTGAAAATCATGGCAGGAGGTGAAAGGCACTCCTTACATGGTGGCGGCAAAAGAAAATGAGGAAGATGCAAAAGCGTAAACCCCTGATAAAACTCAGATCTCATGAAACTTATTTACTACCACAAGAACAGTATGGGGGAAACCATCCCCATGATTTAAATTGTCTCCCACCAGGTCCCTCCCACAATATGTGGGAATTATGGGAGTACCATTCAAGATAAGATTTAGTTGGGGACACAGAGCCAAATCATATCAGTAATCATGATAAAGAATATCAAAATTAGAAACCACCTAGAGAAAGCTTTTAAAATATATTCTGAAGGAAAAATACAACCTGGGCAGTGTGAAGATGGAGGGCAGGCAGATGCTGCTGCCATGGTGTGGGGGATGAGGTTGAGGTTCCTGTGGTAGTGGGAACCAAAGTGGAGCCAAGACAGAGTCCATGGCAGGCATCATCTGCCTGAATTTCAGGTGCCACGATCTCTGGGACTGCAATAATGTCTGTGGCAATTGGAGACAGAGCTGAGAGAACAAAAGGAGTCTGTGGTCTCAGCTTTAAACTACTTCCAGAGCTTCTGCCAGACCCTATTGCAATATGAAAGCAACAAAATGCATGAGAGCATATTGTATATCATCAGGAGGTATATTGTCTTGTCATCCAAAGCTTTGCCAGTGCATGTCCATATTTAACTAAGGAATGTGAAGATGTCCTCTTAGTGCTCGGCAGAATAGTACTGAGTTGTTTTTAATTATTGCTTTCAGTGTCTGAAAATTAACTGCCATGTGAAGTCTGGGTGCTGTTCGTTCAGTCTCTACAGTAGTCACATGATGAATGACTGCAATCTGAGAATAATAACCTACAAATATTGGTTCATGTTTCCAAGGAAAGGGTGTGGAAAAAAAAAGTTTTTCTTAAATTCTGTCTCAACAGTCAGTAGAAACAGAGGGAAGACTATCCTGCAGGTTTTTTGGTTGGTGAAACACACTTTGAGAAATGCCTAGTTTAGAGGAAAGAGCACTACTGTCTTTAAAATCCTTGTCAATAAATTGATTACACAGGAAAGCCCTTCCTTTCTGCAAATGCAAATAAAACATTTCTTGAAATCTAACTGTATCCCCCAGGCTACTGCTTTATTAAAACTATGTGCCAAATCTAAAAAATTTCAAATGTGTCATTTTTTCAACAACCCTTTGTAACATAATTATGTTCCATGCCTCTTAATGAATATGCTATTAAGGAGATTGCAAGGGTCAGCTGCAAGAAAGACATCATCGACGTCATATGTAACCTGGAATCTAAGGGTTGGTATTACAGAGGCTTTGTTCTTTGTGCTACTTACCTTACCCAGCAGCTCCAAACTGCAAGTGTGTATTGTTCTTAGGAACTGACTCTTTTGGAGTACTCTGCAAAGAGAATCAACCCTTCTTTAGATACTTTTTTGGACTGCTGTTGTCAGTTTGTAGCTAAAACACAGAAGCATTTATTTTGCCTCAGTAGATTTATACAAACTGAAGCACAAGATGCTGGTCTTGGGATGTCGATTTTATTGTGTCTCAGAGCTCTTCAACTCATACCAAGTAAGAATGACAAAAGGAAGGCATTAGTTAGTAAAACAATTGCCTGTTTTTTTACCAGAATATTTAGATGTTAGATGATCCTGTCAGCTTACAGAATTCTTAATTAAATCCAGTTTGGATGGATTTAATATGTTGGAAAAACTGTATTTGCAACCAGATAAAAACCTGAGGAAGAAAATAGCTAAGAAATGTCTATTAATGCCACAGATGTTTTAGAGTTACTTCTTAGTGATGATGATGAACGTAAGGAAGATAAACAATATAAAAGATATTTGACAAATCAGCATAAGAAAAGAAAAAAGAAAGAAGGAAAGAAACAAAAAACCCATTGGTTCTTCTGAAAGATATCAGAGTTGGCTTTAGTACCTTGCACAGTTGGAGGCTAACCTTTTTTTCTGTGAGCTTCAATGATGCAAATATGAATTTGTGACCAGAGAGGCTTTGTTAATGCATTATCTTTAAAAGCATAATTATTAAAAAGAAACAAATCTTCAGTTCACCATGCCAATGTCCTATTTGCCAAAGGCCCATTTATTGCAAAAGTATACCTTAGAATTTATTATAAAAATAAACATCAAAATGAAATTTTCAGAGCAACTCACAAACTATTAGATAATAAAAAATGTGATCACAACATGCTTAGTAGACAGAGTAAAAGGTAATTGTTCTGCAGAACTTGGAGGTGATTGCACCAGTAAATCTGAGAAATCACACTGCCATTCTAAAAAGGATAAATGCAATTAAGAAACAGGACAATTGCCAACATGAACAACGGCTGAAAAGCAGCCACACCGTTGTTTAGGTAGAATAGCCTGTGTATTTCTGGGAATGTACAATATCTATGTCAGCAGCATTGGCTGAGTCCGTTTGTTTTCCAGTTGTCTTACTGATTGAGTTTTTCTCTTTATTAAAAAAATGAAACTGTTCTCATTTGGTGCTAATTAATACATCAAAATATACCAGGGCTTTCTTTTTCAAATTAAGTGTGCATGATTGCACATGGAACAAATATTAAGATCTCAAGAGTGTGAGGGCTAGGGAAAGGGACATGGAGGGATTTTTTACTTGACTTGAATATGCACCTGAGGGTGCTTTGTGCAATTTATTGTACACTGAAGCATCTGATACTTTTCCAGTTGAGTTTCAATAAATTACAATTTTTTACCCTCCAACGAAAAGAAAAAGAAAATAACACATGGATGGTAGTAAAATATTCAGCTGAATATATTTTCACTACACACCGCTATTAGTATGCAAAATGCTTTGCAAAATGGTATGCAAAATATTTTACTAATGCACCAAAATGCATTTTGGTATGCATTAAAATATTTTACTAATAGAAGTGTTTATTGAAATCCTAGTAATTGTTAAACATAGTGATGTAAAAATTAACAAAAATGAAGAAATATTCTGTATAGAAGCTTATTTTTAGAACATCAAAGACAGAGAAGGAAAACTTAAGCAGTTGAATACTAAAGCAAAGCATCCCTTTGTGTCAGTCATTTAGATCTGGGGAAAGTCATTCCTTGAATTAAAGTTAGGGAAAACTGAGATCGGAAGGTTTTCAGCATTGACACCACATACGGGTTATAAAACAAATCAGAAATACTTCACTATCAGCATATTATACATGTACTTGTAATTCTTTGATTATAAATCCTGAGCAATATAAAGGTAGAAGAATAAGAATATTGATAAATTAAGTGACTGATGGTTATGTGAACACAAACACGAGCAAAACCTAGAAATCCTGGGTTTCTAGTAACATAGAGATCTAAGTGGAAATTTCATTTCTGTAAGCCTCTATTCACTCCATTTAAAAATTTATAAAACTTGCTCCTGTAAAATGCACATGCTATTTTGAAGATAAATTATAGAGTTAATAGCCTTTCATAAAATTAAATGTTCTATTGAGTGTAAGATGAAATTGTTATCAAAAAATAGGACTAAAGAAAACAGTCTTCTGTTTCAGCACTAGAATTGCTGGATCACTCAGAATACTACATATCCTATAAGAAGTGAGCTCTAGGAATGAGAATATAGCAGGCCACACTAGAGATCTTTTCTATGGACAGAAATTTTACTCTGATTTTTTTTATCAATAATAATTACTGTTGATAATTATCATGGTGATGATGATGGGATTATTATAAGCAAAATTTATTAAGCATCTATACTCTGTAATGTACAGCTTCAACCCACATTGAAAGGTACAGTAGTCCCTCCTTATCCATGGGGGAATACATTCCAAGACCCTCAGTGGATGTCTGAAACAGTGGATAATACCAACCCTGATTACATCAGTTGGGGCACATTTCTGTTCATGTCTCCCACACACAAATTTAATTCCTCCCCATCTTAACTAAGCACTTATCACACACTGTGGCCACAACTTTTGCAATTTGAAGTGCAACAGCAAAATTAGCACAAGTTTATTTTTCCTTCTTCATGACTAAGATTCATTCTTACCATAGTTTTTAGCAATCTCACCATAAGATTTTTGGTCTTTCCTTTTTAAATTGAGAACTTTTACCTTTTCACTAAAAGGAGGCACTTTACAGCGTTTCTTTGGCATATCAAAGTTGCCAGCATCACCACTCTGGCACTTTGAAAATTTTATTAAGTAAAGTAAAGGTGACTTGAACACAAGCTCTGTAATACTGAGACAGTTGATTTGATTGATCACCCAGCCAGATGCTAAGTGACTAACAGGTAGCATAGACAGCACAGGTATGCTTGACAAACGGATGATTCATGTCCTGGGCAGGAAAGGGATAGTGTGATTTTATCGTTATACTTGGAACAACATATTTTAAACTCATGAATTGTTTATTTCTGGAATTTTCTATTTATTACTTTTAAACTGTGGCCAACCAGAGGTCACTGAATCTCCAAAAAGCAAAACAATGGATAAAAGGGGACTACTGTATGCATTAGTATCTTGATTTTATAAGTGATGACCATTCGTATGAGGAAGACTATGTGAATTACTGATTATCACTCAACTGGGAAAAGGCAGGTCCACTTCGTTCTCTCTACCACCTATGCTTGTTATATTACATCATGTTGTCTCTTTATATATTGGTGAGTATGTATTAGATTTACAAACACCAGTCAAAGAATAAGCATTACTGACTATAAATAACATGATATACATTAGTAGATAGCTTTGAAGTATATGAAGCATTTTCCTTTCTGTAATTGAAAAGCCATTTTTGAAAAATTTGAAACTAAAATTAGGTTAAAATGTAAATGAAAGTGTGTGTCTCTATAGAGGTGTGCACAAATTTATATGTGCATATTTACTTGTAACATACTGCCTGTGGGATTACGTACTTATAGGCAGTATGATACAAGAAAATATACACATACACATATGTGTATACAAATGTGCATTGTATACACATTTGACATGTGTTTTCTTGAGTACCATACTGTTGTGAAAAGCCAAATACACTCAGTCAGACCAATTTATTAGTTGCATAACCTTGAGAAAGTTACTTAGATGCTCTGAGCCATAATTTATTTATAAATTTTTAAAAATCACCTACATAACAGAATTTAATTAGTTGTCCTATGTGCATAAGAGAATCTAGAACAATGCCAAATACACATGTACTACATATTTACCTATCTTTATTTGCTTTACAGTATATTAACTCAAACGTTGTACACATATCAGAAATAAAGTGCTATGCTACATTTTCTATAAAAGTAACATTTATCTTTTAATCACTGCTATTCTACAATTTCTAAAGGTAATAAAGCTGGATCAAAAACTTTTAAAATGATTACACGTTTAAAAATAAGTTAATAAATACAATCTGTAGTTTTCTTGACTAGGGTCATCACTGACAATATTAGTTTTAGATCACACTGCAGATCTGGCACACTATACAATTCAACAATGACGATGATACTTGTTTTACCTTGGACAAGATAAGTAAAAATGAAGCTAAACATTTGTAACCTCTGCAGCAGGGTATGCAAGAACAATAATTTAGACTATGTTCATTTTGGAGGGCCTCTAATAGGAGTATATGAGAATTTGCCTATTACAGCTTCTGTGAAAAAATGCAAAATACTTTTGAGCAGATTTATATGAGTAAAATCAGTTCATTTTAAAAAGTAGATTTTGATGTATGATAGTGAGACACAATGATAAATGGCTAGATTTGCATGATAGAAGGTTGCTAGTTAATGAGGAAGATACAGAAATGTATTCTGTCTATATCAGAGGGAAAATTGTTAGCAAGGGGTGTGTATGTGTGTATGTGTTAATGTAGCTAAATATTTACTTTATGTGAAATCTGAAGGTTTTAAAAAATGTTTCTTAAACTAAATTTTCTAAGGTGATTCCATTATTGTTATGATTTACTGATCACAAGATCATATTATATGGATGAAGATACATTTTTACATTCTTAATATTATGTTAATACTAAAACTACTGTCATGTCCAGGGTAATAGAACTTTTCAAAGACAGTCACAAGACAAATATAAGAAAGTTATGTTTGTGCATCCGTGTCATAAATATTATGAATATTTATATAATTTATTGCCTCTTTTTAAGTGATTACATCTATAAATATAAAAATATTGTTCAAATTATGAAAATGATTTTAACAGAATATTACTAGAAAAACTGAACTATTATTCAGGCATTATTCTTAATATTGTGTGGAATTGCAGTTTATTAATTGATATACCTAAAATTTTATTGAATGTCAAACTTGTTTTTTGTATCTGCAAATGTTTCAATCTTTTGTCAATCAGTCATTTGCATACATACCTTGGAAATTAGTTCAGCAATGATGTTTAGACATTAGTGTTGACTGTGAGATATTCTGGCTCAGTGAAGAGTTTTATTAGCAGACACATATCAAACACTAAGGTGTGGTAACAGCTTCTGGTTTACTGAAGAAATGATCTCATTTTTAAAGTAATATGTGTCCCTTTTATTCTATTTCCTTAAATATATGGATAAGTACCCCCTTTTAACGTTGTTTTATATTAAAATAAATTTTATAATTTGCATGAATTCCGCTTTCAATTCAAACTGGCTATATGGAGGTCAATTCAAGAAGTAACTAATTTTGTAGCAAATTTAGCCTAAAATATTTTTCTATGGAATTGTCAATTATAATTTTTTAAAATGTACTTATAGTAATATATAGCAGTATCTGTGTATATATCTATGTACAAATGGCCACTGAGTTTATTACAGTTAGGGCATGACTGATAAAACAATTACAGAAATAGGTAAGATCTAAACATTGTTAAGGAAATTGGCTTTGATGGTTTTCACTGTTTATTATTCTAATTCATAGACCTGATGTTATATGTGAGTAGTCACGATCTACATTTTCTTTATATAGGTGGAACTTAAGGAATGCACAAATAAAAGACACAGATAAATTTATATTCATATAGATTTATTAATATATATCTTTTTCTATAGTGAATTTCCCTTGCATTAACTCTTATTTATTTATTTATTTATTTATTTAGAGATAGGGTTGTCACTCTGTTGTCCAGTCTAGACTCAAACTCCTGAACTCAAGTGATTCTCCTGCCTCAGCCTCCCAAGTAGCTGAGACTACACCCTATGACATTGTGTCCCCAGCTTGCATTAATTCTTTTGTAATAGATGAAAAAATTATTTGAAGGAAACATAAGGTTACTTGAAAGTTAAGTCCCATAGCTGGAACTAGCACAGGCCCCCAGTTCCCTCTGAAGCAGAAACACTGAGAATGAAATTTGCTTAAGGTTCAGATGGATACTTTGTGATTAGAAAAATGTAGATAGTTCTACTTTACACCACAGGAAGTTACATATTGAAAATAAAATTATTGAGGAAATAGATCCAATTTTGCATCTTAAATGCCCAGCAAACATATATCCTAACATGTACTAAGTGCTCCATTTGATGATTTAATGAACAAATATATAATAAATAAGTGGGTACATATAAATGGACCCATGGATTTAAATATTCTGTTATCCAAAACATAAATAAAATGTATTCATCTAATCATTCTGACCATCATTTTTTTTCACTTCCCAAGCTCTTGCCTTCAAGTTAAAGTGCATATATAAGTAAATTGACATTTTTTGTTAATGCTATTCCTGTTATTTCCACAACTGTTGGCAGTTGTACTGTTCATTAGTACAACATGTCACGATATTGTACTAGAATGATCACAGTGACTTACTTGGCTTTGTTACAATACAGACATTTGTTCTTTTGGGATAGAGCTGTATGCTAATATTATTTCATGAATCAGCTTGACAGCATTTTCTATCACCCTAAATGGAAATGACTTTCCTTTGCTTATTTAATTATGCTTCCTTTCAGATCCCGTGCTAAGGGCTCATTCATTCTAAATGCCATTAGAAAAGAACTACCTGAATTAACAACAACAAATACTATAGACAAATGATAATGTGTTGTTAAATTTCGTTATACTAAAGAGCACTGTATTTTCTTAAATTACTTGCAGTATTATTTTTTGTAATTTTGAAATTGAGCTTTGAAGTGTACTATGTTTCTTTTTAAATGATATAAATATACTTAAGCTATAATTCTGATATTAAAGTAAAATAATTGCTTAAGAAAATGGCTTAACCTAATACATATGGTCATATTTTATTGATTTTATTATTTTAAATTTCCCTCTTTTGCAAATTTACTAATACTCATTTCTATTATAAACTATAAAGCTATTATATTTTATTCTTTGTAGGTAGGTCAGGGACTGCTGTCAATCAGCACATTTATTTAGATTGTACAGTGGGAAGAGCATTCTGCAAATGTTGGCTGGCTTATAGTGAAATAAAAGACAGAAAAACTATAACCAGGAAGTGTGGCATGTTGTACTGGATGAGCCCCAACAAATGCATTCTTCACAGTTGACATAAGACATAGTTTGACTGCAGCCCTGCTAGTAATTAGAGATAATTTAGTTTGGCAATCCATATTGTAAATGAATAATTACATATGTTTTACTTACAATTTTTTTAGTAATATAAAGTATATTACTTATTATTTCATCAACATATTGATTACATGTTAATGACTTTCAACACTTAGGCCTTTAATATGTCATTAACAAATTGAATCTTTGAAAACATTTCCTCCCTATTATTAATATAATTTCTGATAATTATAATACAAGGAATGGCTAAAGCCCTTCTATTTTATTGCTGAGAAGAAACCAGTGATTAAGATATTAATACTGTTTGGACCATTAGAGAAAAGATAATAGCTCAGAAAATGAATAGTCTAACGGGCAAAATGTACATTTTGTGAAGAGGATAGTTTGTGATAGTTCATTCACTTTAGTAAATTTAATTCATATTAAGAATGATAGAATTTAGAGAGAAAATAGGAAAATGATGCCAATATAAACAAAATTTCTTGATAATATTCATATCTAATTGTGTAATAAGATAAGCACTTTTCAAATTACACTGGAATTGCATGAACACATTTAAAAATAGCAGTTTATTATGCTGATCCATTTTCAAAACCTTAATTTTAAAAGACAATGGTTGGCTAATATATGAAAATAAATCACAAGAATATATTAAGGATGAAAAAAGCAAGTGTAGATACAGGCATTCTCATTACTAAGAAATAGTGTGCTATACTGAAAGAGCATAAGAGAATTACAGGAGATAGTCCAGAGGTTTAATAAGAAAAAAATTAAACCGTTTAAAGTTATATAGAAAACTATGAATTTTATCTTTTCAGCTTCCCAGGCTGCTACCAGTCTAACACCCTGGATATGTTTATTTTTTCTAAATACAGATCTTAATAAAATCCTAGTTATGGATAAATACAGAAACATAGGTAATCCTACCATACCTATTGACATATATTGTGATGTACTTGTTCACACATATGTATGTAAATTCTATGTTAATCAAACAAGCATGACTCATAGACCATCATTATGAAGAAATATTATTTTTATTCTCATGATCACTTAAAATGTATAATCTGTGGACAAATATTTTGTGTTTTTCCCCCTCATCCCCTGGATGAAATTGTGATCATATTTTCAGTCACACTTAGTGGTTAAAAACTACTATGTC
Source organism: Homo sapiens (assembly GCF_000001405.40). Lineage (NCBI taxonomy): Eukaryota > Metazoa > Chordata > Mammalia > Primates > Hominidae > Homo > Homo sapiens. Next base: position 116,087,756 of record NC_000004.12, on the reverse strand, counting down.
AATTTAAATGACAAAACATAATGATGATCACAATATCCAAATTGAGGTATGATCAAAGTTGAATTTGAAATACATGAATTATCTTTCTTCCCTTAGCTTATAATTGTTATTTAAAGGAAGACCATTGTTGAAATCACTGGTGAATTTTGAGCTTCCTTTGTCTTCTGTGACACCTAAACTTTTCTACTTTTATGTTCTGACTCTGGAAGATGAAAGCAAGATATGAAATATTTTGCCCATTAGAAACCACTATTCCCTGGACTTGACCTGTGTTTGATATTCTCTTTTTCCTCTACCAGCTGTCTTACCTTTGGGTTCTTGAAATGAGCTAATGTATCTCAACTATAACTTGAAATGATTTCTGTACTCCTAAGCATTACCTTGCCCACCACTAGCTGCTTTGGGTGGAAGTCTGATTGCCTCTCAGGACAGGACCAAGAGTAATCTGCTACAATCTCTTCCTTTCCATGTGGCAGACAGAAAAAACATACCCTTTGCCTAATGAACTTGGAGTGGTCAGAACTGTCGCAATAAAGTCTCCTTTCCTTAGACCATTTCGTCTCGACCATTTTTCACACAAATGTATGTAAATTTACCTGTTTGACTTTAGCAGCAGCACATCATATGACTCTGGAATGCAATATGTTTACGCAATTTTTGCCATTGATGGATATTAGTTGTTTCCAGTTGTTTGACATTGCAATTACAAACAATGATAGGCTGAAATTTCTTAACCATTTTGAATATTACTTCTGCTGCAAAAATATTTAGGAGTTGAACTTATGAAATTTATGGTTTCAAAATTTTGAATAAGTCAAATTTAGACATTGTTCTTTCAAAAACATGTATAACACTTCCACTTTCTAGCAACAGTATAATAGAATCACTGCTGTTTTGCATAGATATTTATAATGACCATTAGCTCACAGTTTTTTTCTTTTTGTGCATTCTTCCTTTGAACTTTTATTGTTTTCCATGTTTGCTTCATAAAAATAATTTTCTATTTACTTTCTTCAGTAATATGTAGTATTTTAAACAGCACCAGAAATGGATATTTCTTAATAGTTAAAATAAGTTATTTATGAAGTGAGAAGGTAGAAAACAAATTATTATTGTTTTATAGGACCCACTTAAACAGTTATTAGCTCTTTTTTATTTGATAGGATTATAGGCAATTAATATACAGAAAAAAAGTAATTTTCTTCTTTTGATTATTATTCTTTATGACTTAACTTGTGATGGTTAATGTTATTTGAATTTTGAGCTTTTAGTCTTATTTAGCCCAGATATTAGCAGAAAAATATGTATGAGTAAAATTTGAAGCTATCACTTTGCTTACAAGTGCAATACCCTCTACCTACTTTATTTCTTGAATTAAGTTTGACCCTAGAAAACATAAAGCATAGAGAGAAGAAACACAAATTAAAGTAAATATGTATATAACTGTGCCAGAAGTGATGAAAATTTATGAAGCATACTAGAATTACATTTTAATTTACAAGTTGTACGAATATCTTTATTTGTTCTTTTCATATGCTATAGATACATATTGTACACCCTGAATGTCAGAGAATATCAGAGAGAAGAATTCTCTTTGTAATTTTGTTTTAAGCCTAAATAATTATACAAAAAAATTATGATTTAGAATTATCGGCACACTTCTTCCTTATTATTGTCCTAGTAAAATGTGTGAGTAGAAAGACATTTCCGTGTATCTATAACAATTATATGATCTTTTGAATGCTATATATCTTTCAATTTCTATACATGATAAGATTCTAGAGCTCCTTGTTATCGTTATTCATTCAATGCAACTTATTAAAATAATTATCATATGTGAAACATTTACAATATTCCCTTATATATTATGGTTATATATGTTTATCTTCTCTTAAATAACCTGCACTATTAGAGTAAAAATATCACATTTTGTTAATTTTGTATTTACTGTTTGATAAATACAATTCATAATATATGCCCAAAGAATGTCCAATAACTCATTTAAACTTGAAGTACTTTACAATAATAAGACAGTTTTACATACAGTATTGCATTAGATACACAATTCTTTGAAGGAAGTAGAATGGGTTAAATAAAATAATAATTTTAGATGTAAAGAAATACTCCATCATGTTTTATTATTAATCTCCATGGCCTGAATATATGTTACTGGATATGAAAGCAAAAAAGGAGTTTACTTTAGCAAATTTTTAAATATTATTCTAGTTCATGACTCTTTTGTGAAAGACGAGCATTTATATTATACTAACTCTCTTTGAACTGACATTCTGTAAATATATTCAGTGAGGATAGAGTCATTAGGAAATGCAAACTGTGTTAATTTACACATACTCGATACATTTTAAGCACTATTTATTATTATATATCACTAAAAAAATCCCATGGCAGACAGTAATGCCTTTAATAAATTGAGAAAATCATAACAAAATAACATGGTAAGTTAGTTATTAAAGGAAATATGATCAACACTTGTTGACTTTTAAATATCCTAATTAAGTATAGCCTATTTGTTTTTCTGAGTGACCTAATTTTGATGTTTATTTTAAAAGCAGAAATACAGTTTTTTAAAATCAATTTAAGCATAAACTTTCCCAGAACAAGCTATGAATCTAAACCATGGCTGGCTAATAATTGCATCAAAGTGTTAATGTACAGAAGAAACAATAATTTTAAAAGACAGTTCTCACAAAATTTAAAAAGAACCAGGAACCCACACTATATGGCTGTAATATTATGTATTTCTGTTTCTATCCAGGGTGAAAAAGATATATATACAGAGGATCTAGAAATATCTTAATCAAAGTTAATTCATTTTTTAATATCTCTAAAGTTTATTTACAAAATAAAAACACATACATTTAAAATTTGGGGTTTGGTAGTAATAATCGCTTTTTGATTAAGGCATTATATAGATTTCATAATTTCTTGATATTAAAATGTATTATTTTTAAATGTGATGCTATAGACAACTGATCATTTATACCATTTTAAAGATTTCATTTTGGTAAAAAAGAATAAAAAGAAAAGTTTATCAGTTATCACTTTATGTACATATATATTTGAAACATAGTTATTTGGTATTTATTCCCATAGTCGGGGGGCATAAATTCCCATATGCCCATAGAATGTGCTCAGTTGACTGTTCCTTTTTTTATATATTTTTGACGGATTCTTCGCCTGGTAGCAATGTATTGCATACTATACATTTAATATGAAATATCTTACTTCACTAATTCAATTTTAGTATGTTTGAAATGAAATAATGACATCAATTGTTTATGTGCATTACTTCATTTTTAATATAAATATTTCAATATGTTAATAATTATTTTTATATACTTATTTTAATTTGCCAAATTTTGAGATATTTTGGGTTGTAGGGATTATTCATTTAATCTTCTCTTAAATAGATTAAGATATTTTGTTACAGAATTGAGATATAAAATAAGCTGAAAATATGAAAAGCAAATCTGCTCCTATGTTTCATTAAACATTTCTTTTCCCTTTCAATCATTATCTTTATTTAGAAGACTGTATAAAGTTTAGAGAATGTTAAAAACAAAAAATAATTGAATTATATTAAAATATTATAAATAATTCTTCATGTATTTATTTCTGTATCTAGGCACCATAGTACTTACAGCCACAGGGAAGATTGAATTGTTACTTATGTCAACCTAATTGACTTCTATATTACAAATTATCAAGCACCTAGTTAGTCTTCAAATAAAATATTTTATTAACATCATAGAATTTAGAGCATGTAGAAAACGTATATGTTAAATAATCTATTATTTTCAAAGATAAAAGGGAAAGAAATTAACGAGTTTTTCTAAAGTTAGATATCAATGATCTAACAGAACCAAGAGTCCATTGTCTTTGTTTGGGGTCTGATGCTTTCTGCCAATAAGTCACTGATACTCTATTTCAACTTACCTCATTCTATATTATATTGGACACATATAGTACTTTAATTTTTTAATCGATAATGAATATCATAATTCTACATTATGTTCCAAGAACTAAATAGCTATATAATAGTTAGGAACAATGAGAAAAAATAGTATTTACTAAAAATCTATGGGGAAATACATAGAAAATACCTTTGAATGGACAAAAATGTGGATTTTCCCCTCTCCACGTGGCTATTCTTTGCTTTTTTGCCTCTGAGTGTAGTTTCTTTTCTCTGTTCTCCATTTTCTGTTTTTCCCTGTATTAGAGATTTGTTCCTGGTCTCACTTGAGTTGTCAGAAAAAGGTTACTACACCCTTGAGTTTCAACAGAAAAATGAAAAACTAAAATAACCAATAAATCTCTTTCATTTCTCTCTTCAGTCAGTCCTTCACACAGGCTTCCCATATACAGTGTGAGGTTAATATTCCATCACATTTTTATCTCTTCACCACTAAATAGGAAACAGCTTTAAGAAAAAGAAAAGTGGGCAAAGGACATGAACAGACACTTTTCAAAAGTAGACACAAAAGTGGCCAGTAAGCATATAAAAAAAAGTTCAACATCTGTAATCATTAGAGAAATGCAAATCAAAACCACAATACGTCATCTCATCCTAGTCATAATGGCTATTATTTAAAAGTAAAAAAAAAAAATACATATTGTCAAGTTTGTGGAGAAAAGGAAACATTTATACATTGCTAGCAGGAATGCAAATTAGCTGTTCAGTCATTTTGGAAAGCAGTGTTTTCTCAAAGAACATAAAACAGAAGTATCATTTGACCCAGCAACCTCATTACTGAGTATGCACCCAAGGGAACATAAATCGTCCTACCATAAAAATACATGCACACGTATGGTCATCACAGTCGTATTCAAAAAAGCAAAGACATGGAATCTACCTAAATGTGTATCAATGGTAGATTGGAAAAAGAAAACGTGGCACACATACACTATGAAATACTATGCAACTATAAAAAAAGAATGAGATCATATCATTTGCAGCAATATGGATGGAGCTGGATGCCATCATCCTAAGTGAATTCATAAAAGAACGGAAAGCCAAATGCCACATGTTCTCACTTATAAGAGGGAACGAAGCATTGGCTACACATGGACACAAAGAAAGGAACAATAGACACTGGGGCCTATTTGAAAGTCGAGGGTGGGAAGAGGGGGAAAATCAAAACACAGCCTTCAAGTAGTATGCTTATTACTTGGGTGATTAAATATGTACAGCAAACCCTCGTGCCATGCAATTTAACTATATAACAAACCTGCACATGTACCCCCGAATTTAAAATAAAAGTTAAGAACGCCTGTAATCCCAGCACTTTGGGAGGCCGAGGCGGGCGGATCACGAGGTCAGGAGATTGAAATCATCCTGGCTAACACAGTGAAACCCCAGGAGGCAGAGCTTGCAGTGAGCCGAGATCGCGCCACTGCACTCCAGCCTGGGTGACAAAGCGAGACTCCGTCTCAAAAAAAAAAACCACTAGATTATCAAATTTTATGCCAGAGTCATTTCAAATATAAACAAGAATCAATACACAATGTGAAAACTATTAATGAAGTAAATTACATTTTAAATTAAAAAAACACTGAAGTTTATTTTTATCACAAAATGTGGAATATGTTTTTAATGGAAAAGGCATGGGTATATGTCACCTAAAAAAAAAGTGCACAATATTTTGAGATTATTTTTTAACACGAGAGTTATGAAAGTCTCCAGCATATAGAATATTTTGATTTCTAAATCGGTAGCAATAGTAATAAAAAATTTCAATGTTGTATTTATATGAAAAAATGTTTTTCTTATATGTAACTTTGCTTTTTACGATTCTTAATAAATTCACAGTTTGTCCTTTAAAAAAAATAAGCCAAATTACTTACTAGCAGAATAGTTAAAATTAGTTGAAAATTAGTGGATTAGATAAAATTAGTTGAAAATTAGTAAAACATCTACTTTTACCATAACAAAAACAATGCAGAAGAGAAGATGGTAGCTCCAGAAACCATACCAAATATTCCCATCAGAATTTTGTGTAAAATTAATATTAGATAAGTGTGTGGAAAAAGTACATTAATTCTGAAAAGTATTGTTTAAAAATAATTTTTAATGGGATTATGCTTGATTTAAAAATCAAAGAAGTTTATTAACTGATGGAATCATTGTAAAAAAATTATAAATTTGCAATTACTCCAAATTTCTAAGCATCACATTTGCAATCTACTGATTTACTTGCCACCAAGGTTACTCAAACTTACTTGTAAGTTCGTGTTGACTTTTGATGCCATCAAGTTGGAGTACCCCCTTTCCTCTCCGGTACTTACGTATACAAAGATATTCCATGAAAATTGAAGTGAAAAAAGAGCAGAAACAACTATACTTATAACTGATAAAGTAGATTTCAAGATAAAAACTATAAAAAGACACATAGAAGATCATTATATAATCATAAAGGAGTCAATTTAGGAAGAGTATGTAATAGTTGTAAAGATATACGCACCCAACACTGGAGCACCCATATATAATAAGTAAATGTTATTTAGATGAAGAACTTGAATCCCTGAATACACCAATAACAGGCTCTGAAATTGAGGCAATAATTAATAGCCTACCAACCAAAAAGAGTCCAGGACCAGACGGATTCACAGCTGAATTCTACCAGAGGTAAAGGAGGACCTGGTACCATTCCTCCTGAAACTATTCCAATCAATAGAAAAAGAGGGAATCCTCCCTAACTCATTTTATGAGACCAGCATCATCCTGATACAAAACCCTGGCAGAGACACAACAACAAAGGAGAATTTTAGACCAATATCCCTGATGAACATCAATGCAAATATCTTCAATAAAATACTGGCAAACCGAATCCAGCAGCACATCAAAAAGCTTATCCACCACAGTCAAGTCAGCTTCATCCCTATGATGCAAGGCTGGTTCAACATACACAAATCAAAAAGCATAATCCATCACATAAACAGAACCAACAACCAAAACCACATGATTATCTCAATAGATGCAGAAAAGGCCTTCGACAAAATAAAACAGCCCTTCATGCTAAAAACTCTCAATAAACTAGGTATTGATGGAACGTATGTCAAAATAATAAGACTAGTTTTGACAAACCCACAGCCAATATCATACTGAATGGGCAAAAACTGGAAGCATTCCCTTTCAAAACCGGCACAAGACAAGGATGCCCTCTCTCACCACTCCTATTCAACATAGTGTTGGAAGTTCTGGCCAGGGCAGTCAGGCAAAAGAAAGAAATAAAGGTATTCGATTAGGAAAAGAGGAAGTCAAATTGTCCCTGTTTGCAGATGACATGACTGTATATTTAGAAAACCCCATTGCCTCAGCCCAATATTTCCTTAAGCTGATAAGCAACTTCAGCAAAGTCTTGGGAAACAAAATCAATGTGCAAAAATCATAAGCATTCCTATACACCAATAACAGACAAACAGAGAGCCAAATCATGAGTGAACCCTCATTCACAATTGCTATGAAGAGAATAAAATACCTAGGAATCCAACTTACAAGGGACGTGAAGGACCTCTTCAAGGAGAACTGCAAACCACTGCTCAACGAAATAAAAGAGGACACAAACAAATGGAAGAACATTCCATGCTCATGGGTAGGAAGAATCAGTATCTTGAAAATGGCAATATTGCCCAAGGTAATTTATAGATTCAATGCCATCCCCATCAAGCTACCAATGACTTTCTTCACAGAATTGGAAAAAACTACTTTAAAGTTCATATGGAACCAAAGAAGAACCCACATAGCCAAGACAATCCCAAGCAAAAAGAACAAAGCTGGAAGCATCACACTACCTGACTTCAAACCATACTACAAGGCTGCAGTAATCAAAACAGCATGGTACTGGTACCAAAACAGATATAGACCAATGGAACAGAACAGAGCCCTCAGAAATACTAACACACATCTACAGCCATCTGATCTTTGACAAACCTGACAAAAACAAGAAATGGGGAAAGGATTCCATATTTAATAAATGGTGCTGGGAAAACTGGCTAGCCATATGGAGAAAGCTGAAACTGGATCCCTTCCTTACACCTTATACAAAAATTAATTCAAGATGGATTAAAGACTTAAATGTATGACATAATACCATAAAAACCCTAGAGGAAAACCTAGGCAATACTATTCAGGTATTGGTGTTGGTGAGAGTGTAAATTAGCTCAACTATTGCAGAAGACAGTGTGGTGATTCCTCAAGGATCTAGAACTAGAAATATCCTTTGACCCAGCAATCCCATTACTGGGTATATACCCAAAGGATTATAAATCATGCTACTATAAAGACACATGCACACGTATGTTTATTGTGGCACTATTCACAATAGCAAAGACTTGGAACCAACCCAAATGTCCATAAGTGATAGACTGGATTAAGAAAATGTGGCACATATATACCATGGAATACTATGCAGCCATAAAAAAGGATGAGTTCATGTCCTTTGTAGAGACATGGATGAAGCTAGAAACCATCATTCTCAGCAAACTATCACAAGGACAGAAAACCAAACACTGCATGTTCTAACTCATAGGTGGGAATTGAATAATGAGAACACATGGACAGAGGGTGGGGAACATCACACACCAGGGCCTGTCAGGAGGTGGAGGCCTGGGGGAAGGGGAGCATTAGGAGAAATACCTAATGTAAATGACAAGTTGATGGGTGCAGCACGCCAACATGGCAGATGTATACATATGTAACCTGCACTTTGTGGCATGTACCCTAGAACTTAAAGTATAATTAAAAAATAAAAGCAAAACAAAGCTCGAAGTAAAGGCTGTTTATTTAAGCCAAAGTCTGAAAAACAAATGGCAAAACAACAGACAGCAGAAAATCTTTTGTCGAATACAAACCTTTTCCAGCCTAACACTAATAATAAAAATGTGTTTTTCTCCTTTCCCCATTAAAAGGCTTCAGCAGGTCTATAAAGGAAGTTGATCTTCCCCATTCCCACACTACTTCAAGGTAGCAATTGACATGTTCCAAATGTTCCCAGAATAGTGTTAATATGATCTAGCAGTAAGCAGAACCTCTACCACTATTCAGCAGCTGGGAAATTTAACAAGGTAGGTAGGGTCAGAAGGGAGTAGCTGTCTCTGCTCATAACCTCCCCTTCATTTCTGCTGGTTCCCCAACCTGGGATACCAACTGAAATCCAATGAAGAATTGAATCTGCAAACCCACCTGACAATAACAAGAGTGCATAATGCTGTGAGAATCAGGGCTAGTTGGCTCTTTAATTTCTTTACTTTATTTTTTATCCACCTCACCTTATCAGTTGGACTTACTGGGCACCCAACACCAAAAAGGCAGATAAAGATGATATGAGGTGTAGACATTCCACTTCTCCCTCCACTGGTGTCAGAGAGGCACAGTTGGGAGCTAAACGTCCAATCTACCCACTTCGACAGCAGTACAACAAAGAAGTGGGAGGTAAGGATAGTTGGCACTGTGTTCCCATTTCCCTAGTGCCCCACTCTCTGCTTTTTTCAGCCCCAGGATAGTGTTAACATACTTTAGCGTTAGAGCTGTAATGCAGTGGTGATCATATACTTCTAATAAAAAGTAATGTGCAATTCACTATTTCACTTTTCCAGCAAGCTGTCAGTGGGGCAGAGAAGAAAGCTGAACCCTTGGGGCTGGGCTTTGTGGCTCAAGCCTGTAATCTCAGCAGTTTGGGAGGTCAAGGCAGGTGGATCACTTGAGATCTGGAGTTTGAGACCAGCCTGGCCAACATGGTAAAACCCCATCTCTACTAAAAGTACAAAAATTAGCCGAGCATGATGGCACATGCCTGTAATCCCAGCTACTCAGGAGGCTGGGGCAGGAGAATCGCTTAAACCCAGGAGGTGGAGGTTGCAGTGAGCCGAGATTGTGCCATTGCATTCCAGCCTGGGCAACAAGAGTGAAGTTGTGTCTCAAAAAACAAAAAAAAAGAAAAAAGAAAAAGAAAGTAAAAAAGGAAAATGGAACCTTTATTCCACTTGTCTGCAGCAAGGCAATTTGAGTCAATGATTCTTTTTTCTTGGGGTAATGTTGACAGAATCCAATAGGGAGGTAAATATGGGCACCCACCTAGACCTAGTGCCAAAACTGAATGTGGGCAGGGAATGCTTATCAAAAAGTTAAATGAATGGAATTCAGAGACTCGTGATATAATATCCAAAATATCTAGGATACAATAAAAAATCACCCATCAAACCAAGAAAAATCAATACGTGAATGAGAAAGACAATCAACAAACCCAAATATTTACATAATTCAGATTTTAGGAAAATCTGACATTAAAACAATCATTATAAAAATGCTTTGACAAAAATTAACAATTATCTTGAAACAAATAAAAACAGAGAAAATCTCATAAAAAACAAGTCAGAAAAAAATGACCAAATGAAAATTATAGAATTAAAAAATACAATTACTATAATTAACATGCTGATTGGGCTAAACTGTAGAACTGACATAACAAAGGATAGGACATGTGAACTTGGGACCAGATTGTTGAATTTACCCATTTGAGCAACAGAGAGAAAAACAGACTTTTTTTTTTTAAAAGTAGCTTTAAGGACTTTGTGACCATAACAACAGAGTTAACAAGTGTATCATAAAAAACTGCATAGAAAAAGAGAGGGCCAGGCATGCTGGCTCATGCCTGTAATCCCAGCACTTTGGACGGCCAAGACGGGTGGATCATGAGGTCAGGAGATCAAGACCATGATGGCAAACGTGGTGAAACCCCGTCTCTACTAAAAACACAAAAAATTAGCTGGGCATGGTGGCCTGTAGTCCCAGCTACTCAGAAGGCTGAGGCAGGAGAAGGGAGTGAACCCGGGAGGCAGAGCTTGCAGTGAGCCGAGATCATGCCACTACACTCCAGCCTGGGCGACAGAGCAAGACTCAGTCTCAAAAAAAAAAAAGAAAGAAAGAAAGAAAAAGAGAGAGAGGTACTACAAAATATTCAAAAATAATTCTAAAGCACCCAAAATTTGGTGAAAGACATTAATCTACAGATTCAAGAAGTTGAGCAAACACCAAATAAGATAAAGCACCAAAAATCCACACTGAGACAGATCATAATGAAGTGTCTGAAAACAAAGACAGCAGCAGATTTCTCACTTTAAACCACAGAGGCCAGAAGAAAGTGGCACACCAATTCTCAAGTATAAAAGAAAAGAATTGTCAAGTATAAATAGTATGTCAAGTAAAAATATCTATCAGAAATAAAGGATAAATACATTATTCCACAAAGCAAAATAAGACATTATTTTGACCAGGTGCCTGTAATCCTAACACTTTGAGAGGCTGAGGTGAGAGAATCGCTTGAGCCCAGGAGGTCCAGGCTGCAATGAACTGTGAACACACTACTGCACTCCTGTCTGGGTGAGAAAGCAAGATCCTATCTCGAAAAACAAAAAAAAGAAAAAAAAAAAAAGATTTTTTTTGCTAAAAGACTTACCCTTAAAAAAGTAGATCATTCTATTTCTCATGAGCTTTTAAGATTGTATTGGATGGTAGATGCAAAAATAACAAAACACCATCTAATGTGATGCTCAATGCATGTAAAAGAAACATTTAAGACAATTATATTAAGTAGTAGGGAGGATAAACGGACCAAAATAAAAGTAACATTTCTATATTGACTTGCAGTGCTAAAACGTCAAAACTATCAGACTAAGTTACACATGCATATTCTAATACCTAGAAAATGATTGAGAAAATTAGACAAAATGATGCAATCAAACACACGTAAATAAATGAAGATGAAATTAAAGATGTTCAAACAACTCACAGGAAAATAAAGAGGGGAAACAAACAGAAAACAGAAAAACAAGGTTAAGTCCTAAATTATCAACAGTCACATTAAATATAAACAGTCTTAATAAATGAATAAAAGGCAGAGATAGGTAGAGTAGATTAAAAGCAAAGCAAAGCAAAACAAAAGAAAACACTGTAATCAATATGCTATCAAATATTGTCGACAAAAACCATTTCAAATATAGAGACATCAATAGGTTGATAGTAAAAGGATTAAAAATGTAAACATTAAATAAAAAGTAAATAATAGCTATATTTTACTATGGCTATATTATACCAGACAAGTAGATTTCGAAAGGAAAAAAATTACTGTAGACAAAAATATTATATAATGATAAAAGGATTAATCTGAAAGAGACAACACACTGAACAACACTCTCAAAATACAATTCTTATGTATCAATAAAAAATTAATAAAATACAAATAAATGGTTGAATTTTTAAAAACCTGGTATATCCAAAAGAAGAAATAGAAAAATCCACAATTACACTGTTAAAGTTCAACACCCTATTCTCAGCAACAGATACAACTACTAGATAGGAAATAAGCAAAGACATAGAAAATTAACAACACAGTCAATGAAAGGGCCTAATCAAGATTTATAGAATACTTTACCCCAAAACAGCATAATATACATTTTTCCAAGCACTCACACAACATTCACCATGAACGATCAATTCCAGACTTAAAGCAACCTCAAAACACTGAAAATATTTAAAATTCTACAGCATATGTCTATAACCATAATGGAATAAACTAGAAATCAATAATATAAAGTAACAAAAAAGCTCCAAAAGTTGCAGATTGAGCAATACAATTCTAAATAATCAAAGAGTGAAAATGTCAAAGAAAATTTTTAAAATTAACCAACTGAAAGATGGAAATATAACATATATTGCACATATGTTATATGTAGAATAAAACATGGAGAACATAGTAAAAGCAGTCAATGATACTTAAGAAGAGAAAAGGCTATAATTCAATAATTTATGTATTCACCTTTAAAAATTAATTAAAGATGTGCAAAATAGCCCAAGTGCAAGCAGAAGAAAAAAAATTTAAGAGCATAAATTGAAAAGAGGGAAACAAAATTCACGAAATAACAAACGGATTCTTCAAAAAGATTAATACAATTGGTAAACGTCTAGCAAGAATGACAAAAATACAAAGAGAGAAGACACAAATCACCAACATTAGGAAGCACGGGATATCACTACAAATCCTAGAGCCCTTAAAAATATAAGAAAATATTAGAAACAACTTTACCTTCATAAATTTAATAACTTACAAGAAATAAAACAGTTCTTTTAAAGCCACTAACTTCCAAAACACAAAGAAGGTAAAATAGGCATCAGAATATTCCTATACTCATTAAAGAAATTCTAATTAAAATATCCCTGAAAAGAAATTTGCAAGCTCGAATAGTTTCAATAGATAATTCCACCAAGCTTTTGAAAAATCAACATGCATTTTAGACAGTATCTCTAAAAAATATAAGCAGAGGGAACTCTTTACTATTCATTTTATGAAGATCTTATTACACTGATCACAAAATTTAAAAAAGAAGACTGTAAAAAAGGAAAATTAGAGATAAATATTTCTCATGGACATAGATGCTAAAATTGTAACTATTTATTAGCAAATATAATTTTCCAATATATTAAAAGAAGTATATATGATGATCAAGTATGGTTTAGCCTAGTGATGCAAGGCTGGTTCAGTATTTAAAAATCAATCAATGTAATTCAGTATAGGAACAGGATGAGAAGAAAATTTTATGATTGTATAAATTAATGAATACTTAAGCACCACCTTCAGCAACACAAAACAACCTAGAAAGAAAACAATCTAAAACCTAGAAGAAACACAGAATTTATATTATTTCAATGACAAATTTCACCAAAAAGACAATGCAAGACAAATCCAAACATAATGAAAGACAAATCCAAACATAAAGACAAATCCAAACATATTGAAATACTTTAAGAATAGCAAAAGAGAAAGACTTCATATTGTTTTATGAGGTCAGTATTTTATGAGTTTTAGGAGACCAGTGTATTTATGGGACCAGTTTTATTACCAAAATCAGAAGAGGGTGTTTTGGGTAAAGTCAATTCATGATTATAGATTTCCAAACTTTAAACAAACTACTAGGTGAAAAGAATCCATATATAATCTGCTTCTTGGAAAAGCCAAATTGAAGCATTTTAATATGAAGATTCCTATGAAAGTGCTTTGTGAAGAACTGATCCCAGGAAAATCCACAATGTGGTGAGTATGTGGGAAGGGAAACTCAAGAAAGTCAAGCAAGGATGAGATGCCAAACAATCTCCATCAGGATTTCTTTGGCTTAGTCCCTCAGGGAAACCAGGGAGACAGTATTTCACTTTTAAGACCTTTTCCAAACATCACAGAGTTGTCCAATCAGAGACACAGAAGCTGGGGTATGTACATTACCGTACATTCAGTCATTGGTTATTTTCTGTTTTATGATGATGAAGACAGAAATTCCCAGGTGCTTCTATTAATAAATATTGGAGCACCACAGGAAGAGGTGGGGTGACTCTTGGGAATGAAAAAATACCAGGAGATCCTGTTCTTGAGAAAAGTAAAGGGGATGAGAGCAGATAGAGGCAGATTGCCAACATCCTCTGCTATGATAATATACCATATATGGGATGGATTGGCTTCAAGAGTGCAATGCTAGTTAATGATTACAGTGTCACTCAATTAACTCCTTTATGTGAACAGACTAAAATAGGAAGGGACTTCTAAAGAACTTGGTATTCAAGAGAACTCTCTCTCCAATCTCTCTCTCCCTCCCTCCCCCTCTCTTTCTCGCAGTCTGTCTTTCATCAATTGTCTAACTAAATATCTACCTACCTACCTATCATCAGTTATGGTGAAGTAACATATTTAATGATGAAATTTTTGAAACCCTTTTTTGATGTGGGTGTAATGAAGAATTATCTACTGACACCACTTCCATTCAACAAGAGCATAGTTTAGATCCAGTAGAATAAAGTAAAATGGAGGAAGAGCAATATGTAACTTGGAAGAAATAGGCAAACTCTCTTAATTTATCAGTGTTATAATTATGCACTGAGAACATTTAAACACATTTTTAAAGGTTGTTATCATGAATAAGTAAATTCAGCAAAGTAGTTGGATACAAGGCTAATATAGAAAAATCAATTTTATGTTTAGGTGACAATATCAAACACTTAAAAATAAAATTAATAAAAATTGCTATACCTATAGTTTTGGAAATATCACATACCTAGAATACAATTCTAATTAATGATGTGAAAGACCTATAAACATAAAACAATAATATGTTGCTGAGAAAATTTAAAATAAATAAATAAATGTAGAAATACAGTATGTTTATGGATCAGATGACTCAATATTTCAAAGACACCATTTCACACAAACTATATTATAGTTTTGGTGCATTTACCCAAAATTCACAACAATTTCACTATCTCTTTAGATAAATAAACGAGCTAATTTCAAAATGTGTATGTATATTAAGGGCCAAAAAATAGTTGAAATATTGTTGAAGAAGAATGTGTTGTGAGATGTAAAAGTTTATTATAAAATGACGGTATTATGGTAATTGCACAACAAATGTAGAAAGATAGCCCAGAAATAAATCTACTTGCACATTACAAAATTTTCACTAAAGAGCATGGAAAAAGAAACATTTTATTAATAAAATATAGTAGCCAAACTGAAGATAAACATGAAATTTTTTCTACTACCAAAAAAAAAAGTCCCCATTGGATTGTAGACCTAAGTACAAATGACAAAATGAGAAAGCTTCAGAAGGCAAGATGATAGAATGCATTCAGGAAATTTATTAAGAAAATGAAAAAACAAAAGCTGTAATATATATTTGTAGCATAAATAATGAAAAAGGGACTCACATCTAGAATGTATTGAGTACAACTAATTATAAATCCCCCTGGTCCCCTGTAAAAATAAACATTAAAAAAGCAGACAATCAAATGGAATATGGAAAGAGAAAAAATACTCAGACATGTAAAAAAAGAGAGTATTTTGCTGGTCAATGAAACCATTCATCAACATTAATTGAAATAATTTATTTTCCTGCTAAATGAATATAAAAATATGTAAAATAAATTGACATTTTATATGTGGGTCTGTTTCTTGATGCTCTACTGTGATCCGTTTGTGTATTTGTCTTTCTTTGTACCAACTGTATTAATTTATCTAGCTTTATTAAAAATGTCTTAATAGCTTATGGTGTATATTTTCCAAACCTCTCTTTCTGAAATACTGTCTTTACCATTTTAAATTGTCCTATAAATTTCAGGTTCAGCTTATCAATGTCAAAACACTTCAGGATTTGATAGGTATTTACATTGAATGTATGGACAATTTGGAGACATTCACTGAGACTTTCAATTCATTAAATTAGAAATATTTTAATTTATTAAAATTTAATTGTTCTCAGAGTTTATGTATATGGTTTATATATAAATATATATATATATACCTTTACAACATCAGTCTTGCACATCTGCCTTTAGATTTCTTCTAATGTTTTAATTTTATTTTACATTTCATTTTGTTTTCAATTGACAAATAACAATTGTGCCTAATTATGGAGTAAAGTGTGATGTTGCAATTCATATTTTCATTGTGTAATGATCCAGTCAGGGTAATTAGCAGATCCGTCACCTCAAACACTTGTCATTTCTTTGTGGTGAGAGCATTCAAGACCCTTTTTCTGGCTATGTTGAAATAACAATATGTTATTGTTGACTATGTTCACTCTACTACGCAATCCAGCATCAAAATTTATTCTTCCAATCTAACTATAACTTTGTACCTATTGATCAACTTCTCCTCATACCCCCTTCTCCTCTATTCTCCCCAGCCTCTGGTAACCACGATACTACTCTCTACTTCCATTAGATCAACTTTTTTAGATTGCACATGTAAGTAAGATTATGCAGTATTTGTCCTCCTGTCCTTGGCTTACTTCATTTAACAAAATGTCCTCTAAGTTTATCTATTTTGTTGCAAATAACATGATTTCATTATTTTTGATGGCTGAATAATATAACATTCTGTATATTTATATATACCACATTTTAAAAATTCATTCATCCTTTTATGCACACTTAGGCTGATTCCATATCCTGGCTATTGAGAACAGGGCTGCAATAAACATGGAAATGTAGATATCTCTGTGACATACTGATTTAATTTCCTTTGGATATATCTAGTAGTGTGGTAGCTAGATCATATGGTAGTTCTACTTTTAGTTTTGTGAAGAATTTTCATACTATTGTCCACAATGGTTGTACTACTTTATATTCCCACAAACAGTTTAGAAGAGTTCCTTTTTCTCCATAGCATCACCAGCATTTGCCTGTTTTTTTATGATAGTCATTCAACTAGGGTGTGGTGATGTCTCATTGTGGTTATCATTTGCATTCCCCAGATGACTAGCAATGTTGAGCACTTTTTAAAATGTGCCTGCTGGTCAGCTGTACTTTTTTTTGAGAAAATTATTCAGATATATTTTTAATTTTATATTAGATTATTATTGATTTTGCTATTGTGTTGTCTAGGTTCCTTACATATTCTGAAGATTAACTTATTGTCAGATACTCAGATTTTGAATATTTTCTCTATTCTTTAGATTGTCTCTTCATTGTGGAGCTTTTTAGTTTGATGTAATTTCATTTGCCTATTTTTGCTTTTGTTACCTGTGCTGTTTGAAGTCTTACTCAAAGCAATCATTGTCCCCACCAATGACATGAAGCATTTCTTCAGTGTTTTCTTCTAGTAGTTTCATAATTTTGAGTCTTACCTTTAGATCTATAATGCATTTTGATTTTATTTTATTAAGTGGTGAGAGGGAGAGATCTAGTTTTATTCTTCTGCATGTGGATATCCAGTTTTCCCAGAACCATTTATTAAAAAGACTTTCTTCAATGTATGTTCTTGGCACCTTTGTCAAAAATCAGTTGGTTGTGAATATGTGGACTTATTTCTGGGATGTCTATTCTGTTCTTTTAGACTATGTGTCGATTTTTATATAAATACAAGTTTTTTTGGTTACTATAAGCTTTACAATATATTTTGAAGTAAAGTGTATTACTGTAGCTTTGTAATACACTTTGTAACATAACTTTGTATTGGTAATTATAGCTTTGTAATATATAGTGTGATGCCTCCAATTCTGTTCTTTTTGCTTAATATTGCTTTGACAATTCAATGTATTTTGTGGTTCCATGAAAATTTTAGGATTTTCATTCTAATTCTGTAAAAAATGTCATTGGTATTTTGATATGGATTGTAATAAATGTAGATTCAATGTCTATTGTATAGTATGAACACTTTAACAATATTATATTTTTCAATTTATAAATGTGGCATTTTTTCATTTATTAGTGCCTTCTTCCATTTTTAATCATTTTTTTGTACTTTTTATTGTAGAGATCTTTTACTTCTTTGGTTAAATTTATTACTAGAGGAAGAGGCATGGTAGCTCATGCCTGTAATCCCAGCATTTTGAGAGGCCGATGAGGGAGGATCACTTGAGCCCAGGACTGGATTATCTTTTTGATATGCTGTTGGATTCAGTTAGCTAGTATTGTGTTGAGGATTTTTGCATCTATGTTAATTAGGAACATTGGTCTGTAGTTTTCTTTTTTTGTTATGTACTTTCATGGTTTTGGTATTAGGGTGATACTGGCTTCACAGAATGACATAGGGAGGATTCCCTCTTTCTCTATCTTTTGGAATTGTGTCAATGGGATTGGTACCAATTCCTCTTTGAATGTCCGATAGAATTCAGCAGTGAATCCATCTGGTCCTGGACTTTTTTTTGCTGACAATTTTTAAATTACCATTTTAATATCACTGCTTGTTATTGGTCTGTTCCGCTTCTATTTCTTCCTGGTTTAATCTAGGGGTGTTGTATATTTCCAGGAATCTATCTGTCTCCTCTTGGTTTTCTAGTTTGTCTGCGTAATGGCCTTCATAGAAGGCTTGAATGATCTTTTGTATTTCTGTGGTATCGATTGTAATATTTATCATTTTATTTCTAATTGAGCTTATTTGGATCTTCTCTCTTCTTTTCTTTTCTCTTTTTTTTTTTTTTTTTTTTTTTTGTGGAGGGTAGGGGTGGTGGGTGGAGTCTCACTCTGTTGCCCAGGCTGGAGTGCAGTGGCGCGATCTAGGCTCACTGCAAGCTCCCGCCTTCCGGGTTCACGCCATTCTCCTGCCTCAGCCTCCCGCGTAGCTGCAACTACAGGCTCCGGCCACCATGCCCAGCTAATTTTTTGTATTTTTAATACAGATAAAGTTTCACCGTGTTAGCCAGAATGGTCTCGATCTCCTGGCCTCAGCCTCCCAAAGTGCTGTGTTTACAGTCTCTTCTTTTCTTTTTTTAATCTTGCTAATGATCTATCAATTTTGTTTAACTTTTCAAAGAACCAGCTTTTTGTTTCATTTATCTTTGGTGTTTTTTTGTTTCAATTTCATGTAGTTCTGCTCTGATCTTTGTTGTTTCTTTTCTTCAGTTGAGTTTGGGTTTGATTTGTTTTTATTTCTCTAGTTCCTTGAGGAGGTATGACGTTAGAGTGTCTATTTGTGAAGCTTAGTTTTGCTGGATAGAAAATTCTTGGATGATAATTGTTTTGTTTAAGGAGGCTAAAGATAGGACCCTAATCCTTTCTAGCTTGTAGGGTTTCTGCTGAGAAATCTGCTGTTCATCTGATAGGCTTTCCTTTTTAGGTTATCTGATGCTCTTGTGTTGCAGCTCTTAAAATTATTTCTTTCGTCTTGACTTTAGATAACCTGATGACTATGTGCTAGGTGATTATCTTTTGCAAGGAATTTCTGGGGTGTTTTTGACCTTGTTGTAGTTGGATGTCTAGATCTCTAGCAAGACCAGGGAAGTTTTCCTCAATTATTCCTTCAAATATGTTTTCCAAACTTTTAGATTTCTCTTCTCCCTAAGGAAGGCTAATTATCCTTATATTTGGTCATTTAACACAGTCCCAAACTTCCTGGAAGTTTTGTTCATTGTTTTTAATTTATTTATTTGTCTTTGTTGGATTTGGTTAATTTGAACGCCTTTTCTTCAAGCTCTTAAGTCCTTTCTTCTACTTGTTCAACTCTATTGCTGGGACTTTCCGGTGTATTTTGCATTTCTCTAAATGTACTTTATTTCCAGAAATTGTGATGTTTTTATTCATGCTATTTATTTCTCTGGATACTTTTCCATCCATATCCTCCATCATTTTTTTTAAATTTCTTTAAGTTGGTATTTATGTTTCTCTGGTTCCTCCTTGAGTAGCTTAATAATTGACCTTCTGAATTCTTTTTCTGGAAATGCAGAGATTTCTTCTTGGTTTGGATCCATTGCTGGTGGGCTCGTGTGATCTTTTGGGGGTGTTAAAGTACCTTGCTTTGTCATATTACCAGAATTGTTTTTTTGATTCCTTCTCATTTGGGTAGACTATGTTAGAGGGAAGATCTAGGGCTCAAGGGCTGTTCAGATATTTTTTGTCCCACAGGGTGCTCCCATGATATAGTGCTCTCTCTCTTCTTCTAGAGCTGGGGTTTCTTGCCAAACTTGCCAAACTTCAGTGATTGTTTTTTCTCTCCTGGGTGTCACCATCCAGTGGAGCTACTGGGCTCTGGACTGTTGTTTGTAGTTTTGTTTAGTGTGCTGGTTTTTTGTTGGTTTTCCTCCAACCAGGAGGTAGCACTTTCAAGAGCATCAGCTGCAACAGGGTTGCCTGAATAAGTTTATCAGGCAGTGGGCAGAGCCACAGAGCTCCCAGGAAATTACGTCATTTGTTTTTGGCTGCCAGTGTGGGTAGAGAAAGACCATCACATGGAGGCGGGGTTAGGTGTGTCTGAGCTTGTACTCTACTTGTGTTGGGCTTGCTGTGGCTGCTGTGGGGGATGGGGTGTGGTTCTCAGGTTGATGGAGATATGTCACCTAGCTCCCCCGCAGCCTGATAAGGCAGTCTCACTCGCACCATACCCCCGACAACAGCACTAAATTTATTTCCAGGCAGTCAGCAGGACTGAGAACTTGCTGCCAGCTACAAGCCTCCCACCTGAGAAAGCAAACAGGGGCTTTTAGGTTTTGCTCCTCCCTGCCTGCTGTGATTTCTGTGCTGGCATCTGCACTCCCCCTTCACTCTCTCTCCTGGATTCTGTCCATGAAACTTCATATTTGGTGAAAATTGTTACAAAGTTCAGCTGGAGGTTTTTTTCTCCCTGTGGTCTTTTCCCAATTCCACTGACAGCCCTTCCCTGGGACCCCCGTGAGACAAAATCAGGAGTAGCTCCTTGGGGACCGAGACTGTCCACAGGACTCTTCACACTGCTTCCTCTAACCCTATATTTTGCTCAGCTGTCTAAATTCATCTCAGCTCCAGGTAAGAGCAAATCCTTCTCCCGTGATCTGGATCTTTGGGTTACTCAGAGAGGGTGTGTGTTCATGAGTGGACATCCCCTTCTCACCCCCCGACCCCCCACACACACATTTTGGGCACTCAACAGTTTTTTGGCTGTCTCACAGAACCTGCAGCAGCAAGCTACTTCCTTCAAAGGTCTCTGAATCAATCTTTTCATGTCATCATTAGACATAACTTCTCACCAATTATTATTATGCCAAGAAAATTTTATTTCATGTTATTTTCTAAAAGTTTTATAGGTGTATTTTTTACATTTGATTCTATAATTTTTGCTGTAAAGTGTGAGGATTAAGTTAAATTTTGTGGGAGGTTTTTGGTTGTTTTATTTTGCTTTTCCTATGGATATACAGTTACTCCAGGACTAGTTGTTGAAAAGCTACATTTACTCCATTACATTTCTTTTGTAGCTTTGCCAAAATTCATTTGGCTGCAATTCTATGGGCCTGTTTTTGGGTTTTCTATATTGTTCTATTAATCTATGTGTCTATACCATCACCAATACCACACAGTATGTGTTATGGTGGTTGTATAGTAGGCCTTAATATTAGGCAGAGTAATTTCTCCTACTTTATTCTTTTTTTATAAATAAAATTTAGTTTTATAAACATGAACTTTTTCTCCATTTATTAAGATCTTTGACTTCTTCTGTTAGTGTTATACAATTTTCAGTATACAAATTCTATGTACTTTTTGTTAGATTATACCTGAATATTTCATCTTTTTTAGAGAATCTAAATGATTTGATAAATTTAAATTTAATAAACCATAGGTTCATTTTAAATGTATAGAAATGTAATTAATTTTTGTGTGTTTATCTTGTAACTTGTGGCCTTGATAACTGAAGTTATTAATTCTAGTATTTGTAGGCAAATTCTTTGAGGTAACCTATGTAGACCATGTTATAACCTGGAAATATATGCCATACTCATTTTTCCTTCTAATATGTATGACTTTTTAAAAAAATATTCTTTCTTTTTTTCTGAAATATGTTAACTGGGATTTCTAGTTCTGTTTTGAATAACAGTATTGAAGATGAGCACATGCTTTATTTTTTATCAGCGGAGGAAAGCATTTAGTCTTTAATCATTAAATATGATGTTAGCTGTAGTAAATATGATGTTAGCTATTGGTATTTAATAAATTAATTTTTCTTAAGTAATGCCTTAATGAACTGCATTATTTATGGAAGATAAAAGTACATCATAACTATTATTCATTTTTCTATTTATTTTAAAGAAGCCACTTTTTCTATTCTAGTAATTTTCAAAATATGATATTATTAACATTTTATAAGATTAGCATCATACTTAAGCTGGCTCATGTGTTTAACGTAATTATACTTTTATTATTTAATTAATAGAAACTAAATCATAAAAAATAGCAAAGCATGTATAACAAAGAAAATATAGGCTTTGCTATCTTATATCTACTGAAAAACCTTGGCCTTATATAAATGGAATTTATTTGTTTGTGAAATAAATAGTTTCCTCATATTTTGACCTCAGTGAAGCTTTATACAAGTAGAATAACCAATTTTGAATTATGGAATGCAGTTTTGTAAAATGAGCTTTGTTTTTTTTTCCTGTTACTACTTACCAGGAAGTCACAGCCACAAACAGCAAGAAAAAATTAGATATTAATCTTCTCCTTAAAAAGTTGAGCTATCTTGCTTAAATTCAAGATAATTTTGAAGATCTTCTTAATGTTAGTATTATGGATAAACACTCATTCAAAGAAATAAGCCATCTTCATAGTTCAAGATTTTTATTCGCTTACATTTCTATATGGATGTGCTATTTTTGGTATCTTATGTCACTAGTATTGGCAATGCAATATAATGAAACAAATATATGCCAATTCATTACACACATTAGATCAATTATTCAGGCTTACTATTTGTTCCTGTAGTACACATATGTGGTGTATGACCCAGGAGAATATCTCCCCTTTAAGGAATGAAACATGTGTTTCCCATTTGTTGGAAGTCTTCGCAGACAATAGCTCTCATTTGAGTCTCTCCTTGGAACCTCTTTTCAACTGAAGACAGCTTTTTTGCCCAAGAAAGATTACACATAATGACAACTGTTGCAGGGGTAAATAATTTGAGCTAGCTTGCCTAAATTCAAGATAAGTCTAAAAAGCCATCTCAACTCTTGATCTCTTCATAGTATCTGCTGAGTCTTGGTGCAGCAATATGGCAGCTAAATCTCTCCTCTGCTCAATTATGCTTCCTCCACTTCTGTACTGGTGTTGATCTCATGAGTAATCATAAACTTTATATACAAACATAGAAACAACTGCAATAGCACCTGTGTGAATTGTTTCTTATAAAATAAAGTCCATCATTGTCTTCCAATGGCAATTAAAATTTGTATATGAAAAACTATACAGATGAAACTAAGAAAATTTCTAATAGCACCTACGAAAGTTCAGTAATGACCCCTACACAACTAAGAACATTAGAAACAATAGAATATAAGTCAGTGTGGAGTATCAGGAAATGAGATGGCAGAAGAAAATAAGTGCAGTTTTTTTGCAGACAAAAATGTTTTATTATTCTCAAAGTATATGCCAATGTAAAATACATTAAAATTTATATATTGAGGCTTATAGTACATTAACTTTGCAGTAATTATCAATTACTCCCATACTTGTGTTTTTGTTCTGTTCTTCTTGTCAAAAGAAAAAAAAAACATTATTTGTCCCACTGAATTTGGCCTATCCTGGAAATATCTTTTGACCAACAGAACGTGTGAAAATGACGTTGTGTGATCTCGGCTTAGGTTTTAAGATGCGTTGCAGTTTCCTTTATATCTATCCTCTTAGAAGTCAGTCAGCTGTCATGTAAAGAATTCTGACTTTCTAGTGAAGAGTAAGACCACTTATAGGGACCACAGAATGAACGACAACTTACATGAAAAGAGAGGTCTAGCCAACCCTCAGTCATTCCAGCAGCAATCCAGCTGAGATGGCAGATGTGTGAATGTAGGCACATGTCTGCCAGCCAACATCACAACATCATACGGAGCAGCAACAATCCATTTATGGAAAATCCAACCCAAAGTGGAGAACGATGAAGAAATAAATCATTGTGTTGAACCAGTAATTAATTATACATCATCAGATAACTGAAATAATCACATGATAATCAATTGAAAAGTGTTTGTCTCAAATTTCTAAACCTAATAATTACCAAAAGACATATTCAGAAAGATGCGAACTGGTAAATGTGGCTACTGGATTTTCTTAAAATATAGATTTAATTTATTTGAGGAAAAAATATAATGAATTTATTCATTTACTATATAATGCTTTTGTTTAATTAAAATAAACTAAGGGTAAGGGCATATAACCCAGTTATAAGTTACAGGTCACACTACTGAGTTCTTATAAACATGATATTTTTCACAGAAATATATAAAAAATTTAATACCCTGCTTACCATATGGTAGCTGATACTTTTATTATCATTTGCTCTACAGTTGAAAACTGCATATGGTCCTGGACATAGTCTATAAAAAAAACTTTAATCTTAACTCTGCTAAGTTATGAGAAGAACACTACAGAAGAGAGAAAAGAGGGCATATTTTAAAACTTGATAAAATTAAAAGAAAGAAAATAGTGCTTGTTTGGGAGACTATCACCAACCTGAATCATGTCTGCCTTTGATTCTCTGTGCTTTGAATGTTCAAATAAATTTTCTCAGCCCATCTCTCCATCCCTTCTCAGCTCACTATCCCTAGCTGGTAGTTTCCACAAAATAATGTCCTTTATGTTACATCTTAGAGATGGAGACATTAACCTAAATTCTACAAGACAAGAGCTGAAAAAAATTGCCTTATATAGTGGGTTCATTAATAGAAGTACATGTATGCTAACAGATGACTTACAGAAAATAATTCAGTAAGGTTGGCTATCTTTGAATCATATTACTTCAGCTTTATTGATTGCTACTATTTTAAGTCCTTGATTTTAACAGTTAGATATGAAGGAATATATACATTAGACTAAAAAGAAAGTTAATTTTAGAGAATAATGAGAATTACGGAACTTTGCATTAGTTCTTCTCTTTTAATACTGTTTTTGTTCTTATAGTTCCCTAATTCTCCACCATCTGCTGTTACTTTAATTGCTCATCAAGTATAGTGATCTTGGCATTAATGGAAACAACACATCTGTCCTAAACCTTTTTTCTTATATCCTTTATTCCTTCCATTGAAACTTTCAGTTCATTTATATAGAGCAATTACAGTCTTGTGTCACTTAAAGATGGGGATACAATTTGAAAAGGACTTTGTTAGGCAATTTTGTCTTTGTGGGAACATCATAGAGAATGCTTACACAAACCTAGATGGTACAGCCTAGTACAAATGTAGGATATGGCATTGTTTATTGTTCCTAGGCTATAAACCTGCACAGCATGTTACTGTACTCAATACTGTAGGCAACTGTAACATAATAATAAGTATTTGTATATTTAAACATAGAAAAGGTATAGTAAAAATATAGTATTATAATATTATGAGACCACTGTAATATATGCACATTGTTATTAATTTAAGCAATATTATGAAACAATAATTGTATATTAATTGAAATAAAATATTAAAATTACTCTAAAACTTCAGTTAGTATTATAAAGTATTTTAAATGGTCACCTTAAATTTAAACCAGGGTTTTTTTTTTCCATCTACTTAAAATCTTAAATTGTTTTATGAAGAGGAATATTACTTTTCCATATAGCTGTTGTTATTGCAAACTTATATTCCTAAGGAATTTCATTAAAAATTAATATAAGTTGTTAAATTGAAGCACAAAGATTATGTTTAAAATGACTATAAATGATGCTGTACAATCTAATATCTGTTTTGGGAAATTTTCATTTCTCATAGTGATTGGAAGTGCAGGTATTATGGATGTCAATAAGTATAATGGAAGGCTAAGATAAGAATATAAAGAAAAATAGTTACTTATTCAAGCAGTGAAATTGCAAAAGGAAAAAGAGAGATTCCTGTTTATTTACCCCAAGTATATTTTTTATCAGTCACACAGTAGCTGAATGTTCCCTACATAATTTTTTCCTTAGGAAATCCTCATGACAGTCATATTTGTTGTAGGATTTAATTAAAAAAAAAAAAACTTTCATATGACCTACACTAACAAGCATTTGAAATATTTTCTAACTTTCCTAAGATATAAGTAAGGAGGCAAATGTAGCCTTCCTCTATATACACTTTATTTTACTTTAATTTTTAGACATAGTCACTTAAAACATTTATACAATAGAATACAACAGATGTCAAGATTCTGTTGATATTTATTAATATACTGTTAGGTGCTGCATTCTGCAAATATAGTTAAGAAAATTAAACATTAACATTATTTATAGTATCATTTAATGATCATTTTAATGGTAGAAACTATATTCTACACTTTAAGTATATTATATAATAAATACATGTAAGAAACCTAAAGACAAAATTTATCCACTTTTCAGGTTTGTGAAGTGTATAGCTTAAACTCTTAAATAACATAACTAGGGTCATCCAACTAGTTAGTGTTAAAGCCATCTAGTGAGCAAAATATTTCTAACTGGAAACATTTGGCTTAGTCCCTTCCATTTTACATTTGGATCATCTAACTCCTAGGAAATTATTATTTTAATGTTTCAACCTAGAAACTCCTGAGGCAAGAAGTCAGGATCAGAGCATTTTTGCTATGATCCTCAACTAATCCTTAGGGTGATTCTAAAAGAATCATTTTAAACATTTTCCAACACTAAAAATTTTATTGACCTCAGCAGATCATCTAAAAATATAACAAGTATGTGCAGGATCATCGTTACTTGGATCATAAGCTTGTTCTTTTTTTGTTTCCCTTAGCCTAGTTGTTTCAGGTTGAATCCTTCAAACATCAGTTGATAATTGACTACTCATTCAGTGGCCAAGGCACAATATTGCTACTTTTATGGTGTGTGTATGTACATGTGTGCGTATGTGTGTGCTTGTTGTATATATGCCTCCGTGTGATCACTGACTTCTGGAATTCACATTAGGATAAATGAATGGTAAAACTAATTGCTTCTAATAGCCCTTCCCTGAACATACCTACTACAGTCTCAGAGTGCCCACCAAATCTCATCTCAAATTATAATCCTGATAATCCCCATGTGTCAAGGGAGAGACCTGATGGGAGCTGATTGGATCATGGGGGTGGTTTCACCTATGCTGTTCTCATGATAGTGAGTGAGTTCTCATGGGATCTGATGGTATTACAAGGGGCTCTTCCCCTTTGGTCTCTCTCTCCTGCCACCATGTAAAAAAGGTGCTCGCCTTCTCTTCACCTTCCACCATGACTGTAAGTTTCCTGAGGCCTCCCCAGTCATAGAAAACTGTGAGTCAATCAAACAGTTTGGAGGGCTCAGAAGAAGACAAGAAGATAAAGGAAACTTTGCAATCTCTTAGAGACTTATTGTATGGATTTGACCAAAGTGCTGATAGTGATGTGGGCAATGAAGTTCAGAATGAGGTGGCCTCAGATGGTAATGAGGAACTTATTGGGAACTGGAGCAAAGGTTACCCTTGCTATGCTTTAGCAAAGGAACTGGTGGTATTCTACCCCTGTCAACAGCGGAAAAGGTCTGTGGAAGTTTAAACCAGAGAGGGATGATTTAAGGTATCCGATGGAAGAAATTCCTAAACAGTAAAGTGTTCAAGAGGTCACCTGGCTTTTTCTAAAAGTATAGAGTCATAAGCATTCACAAAGACATAATTTGAAATGGAAACTTATATTTAAAAGGGAAACAGAGCATAAAGCCTTGGAAAATTTACTGCCAGATCATGTGATGGAAAAGGAAAACCCATTTTCTGGGGAGAAATTCAAGCCAGCTGCAGAAATTTACGTAAGTAAGGAGAAACCAAATGTTTACAGTCAAGATAATGAGAAAAATGTCTCCAGGGTTTTCTTACATCTGCATGGCAGCCCCTCCCATCACATGCTTGGAAGTCTAGGAAAAATGGTTTGGTGGGCTAGGCCCAGGGCCCTGCTGCTCTGTGCAGCCTCAGGATGTGGTGCTCTGGGTCCCAGCTGCTACAGCTCCAGCTATGGCTAAAAGGGGCCAGGGTAAGCTCAGGCCATTGCCCCAGTGTGTGTTAGCCCCAAGTTTCAGTGGCTTCCACATGGTGTTGGGCCTGACAGTATACAGAAGACAAGAGTTGAACTTTGAGAGTCTCTGCCTAGATTTCAGAGGATATATGGAAATTCCTAGGTGTCCAGGCAGAAGTCTGCTCAGGGGTGGAGCTCTCATGGAGGAGCTCTACTAGGCCAAGGCCAAGGAAGAATGTGGGGTTGGAGCCCCCACACAGAGTCCCCACTGGAGCACTGCCTGATGAAAAAAAGGCCACTGTCCTCCAGATCTCAGAATTGTAGATCCACCAACAGCTTGTGCCGTGTGCCTAGAAAAGCCACAGGCACTCACTCCAGCCTGTGAAAGCAGCTGCAGGGGCTGAACCCTGCAGAGCCACAGAGTTGAAGCTGCTCAAGGCGTTGGGAGCCTACCCCTTGCTTCAGCGTGCCCTGGATGTGAAACATGGAGTCGAAGGAGATTATTTTGGATCTTTAAGATTTAATCAGTGTCCTAACAGGCTTTGAATTTGCGTGGGTACTGTAGCTCCGTAGTTTTGGCCAATTTCTCCCATTTGTATTGGGAACATTTACCCAATGCTTGTACCCCCATTGTATCTTGGAAGTAACTAACCTGTTTTTTATTTTACAGGCTCATAGGTGGAAGGGACTTACCTTATCTTAGATGAGATTTTGTACTTAGACTTTTGAGCTAATTCTGGAATTAGATAAGATTTGGGAGACTGTTGGGAAGGCATTATTGGTTTTGAATTGTAAAAAGGATATGAGATTTGTGAGGGGCTATGGGCAGAATGATATGGCTTGGCTTTGTGTCCCCACCCAAATCTCATCTCAAATTGTAATCCTCACATGCTGAGGGAATAACCTGGTGGGAGACAATTGGATCATGGGGATGGTATCCCCCATGCTGTTCTCATGGTAGTGAGTGACTTCTTACCAGATCTGATGGTTTAAAAGTTTCACTTCCCTCTTCACCCGCTCTCTCTCTCCTGCTGCCATGTGAGGAACATGCTTGCTTCCCCTTCACCTTCCACCATGATTATAAGTTTCCTGAGACCTCCCTAGCCCTGTGGAACTGTTTCTTCATAATTTACTTTTATGAAGGTAACTTAACCTTCATAAAGCTTAAGTTAAATTAAACCTTTTTCTTCATAAGTTACCCAGTCTCAGGCAGTTCTTTATACCCATGTGAAAATGGACTAATACAATACCATCATTTTTCTAATCTCTGTCTTCCTTTGTCACCCTCTTACACAGGCAGAGTCCTAGGAGTCTGAAGATACTAATTCGTGAATCTGGTATAAAGAAAGTATTATTTAGTCTTCCACTCAGAGCTTTACTGAGGATAAAAGAGTAGAAAAAATATCAGAGAGGTAATTGTAAAAATAATACTTTTACCATTCAACTGCACTGGCCTGATAATAAGCACATTTACAATATTAGGTATCTAAGAAATGGCACATGTGTTATTTCACAAGATTCTATATAACCATATTATATAATATATAATAAGTTAAAGTAATTTCAACATGTACAGAATTAAAATATTACTGTATTAAGTAGTGATAAAATAATAGATGTAAGAAAACATAATGGGGAAAATAATATTTATAATAAAATTATTTCAGGATCCTGATGTCAGTCTAATGGAAGTTGTCCTGTGAAATTATTTCTGGAAGAGATAAAGTAGGGTTTGATGTATCATGTATGGCATTTTCTTATTTTACTAATAAATGGCTGAGTAACATTGGCAAATATATATATTTCTAAACGTAGAAATGAAGGTGGTTATACCATATAGGTTTGCTTGTTTCTCTAATAATAGATAACATGTATTAAAAATTAATTTCATATTAAAGCCTGGATGTAAGCATTTTTATGCAAACCATGATAGCCCTATGAAGTATTTTACCATTATTATTCCCATTTTACCGGTGAATGGCATAGGTTGGTCTACCATACAGTTAGTAAATCACAAAGATATGAATCCCTGCAGAATAATCTTGGGCCCATGCCTAGAACATAATGTTATTTGATAGAAATAAAATCTCAGGCTAAAATACAAGCAACTTATTGTCCGGGCGCAGTGGCTCACTCCTGTAATCCCAGCACTTTGGGTGGCTGAGGTAGGCGGATCACGAGGTCAGGAGATCGAGACCATCCTGGCTAACACGGTGAAACCCCCTCTCTACTAAAAATACAAAAAATTAGCTGGGAGTGGTGGCAGGCACCTGTAGTCCCAGCTACTCGGGTGGCTGAGGCAGGAGAATGGCATGAACCCGGGAGGTGGAGTTTGCAGTGAGCTGAGATCGTGCCACTGCACTCCAGCCTGGGTGACAGAGCAAGACTCTGTCTCAAAAAGAAAAAAAAAAAAAAGGAAAGGAAAAAAAAAAGATGGAACTTACTCGTTCTTATTGTAATTATTCTTTGCAATTCTTTTCTCAAAAACATTGAAGAATTGACATTTTCTCTAACATCTCTCACTCTGACTGTGAGAAAATCAAATGAAATTTGCTCCCTTTATAAATTATTTCTTGTTCTAACTTCATTTTATAGCCCAGTACAAAGTATCTAAAATAAATAAAAAACAGATTAAATATATAAATTAAGTACAGTGTACCCTTTTTTCTGCTTAATTGCATAAAAAACCACACCTTACTTGAACTACAGTGACATCTTGTGGCCTAAAGTGTTTGATTTTTTTAATATATAAATCATTGTTTTTGTTTTCTGATTCTCTTCAGTTCTAAGTTTTAAAGCAGGTACTTTTCATTCAAGAAAATGCCATAGGCATAAATTCTGAACAATCACTAAATATTCCATAAATAAAATATTAAATCGGGAAAAAATTAATGACAAATATGGCTAAGAATAATTGCTGACCTAGTTTTTTTTTTCAGAGTAGTGTGTTTAACTTGAAGTATATTTTATTTTTAAAATATGTGGGAAAAACTCATGTCACTTCATTTAAAATTGGAGACAAGTAGTTTCAATCATTTTGCTATTTTTGTGTAATTAAAAAGGAATCAATTTTTTTTAAATTGTAAATATGATCCCAATATCTGCACGTTAAAAACATTTTTCTTCTATGGAATGCACATCATCTTTTTAATGTATAACTTTTAGTTTTATTCTTTAAATACATACTAATAAATTAATTGAAGTTATGATTTCCTCAAGCCTCTGCTTTCTTCAGTTATTTCAGTAATTGCCAGATGGCTTCTGATTATTTTCACTGTTCCCCAGGGTTCCATATTAAACACATTAAATCACATCTTCAAAATTTAAAGAGGAAGTATAATTGCACCTCAAAAGCTCTTATTATACATCTTACAAAAGTGTAATTATGAATTAAACAGTATTATCTTGAATATACAGAGAGCTGCGGTTTGTAAAGCTAATTTGTAAAGAAACAAAATAATGGTGATATACAATTTAAACTAATTTATTTATGTATGTTATACATATGGTATTCAAAATTAATTTAAAATAATGGTTAACTAGTTAACTCATTTCATATGATAAAGTATATATTAAGAGTTTAATAATGTGTATCTAAACCTATTTCTGCTGTATTGTCATTTAAGTTTTAGAAAACAATTAGTTCATTATAAAAAGTATAATTAAGATATTCTTCTCAGCAGTACATATTGATTTCTATAATTCTGTTGTTTTGGTTCTAATTTTAGTATATGTGCTACTGAAGCAAACACTGTTGTTCCATCGTATAGCATCTATTCTACAAATTGCAAAATGAGTGTAGCTCTTTTTATAACTAGAATAAGTAAAGGTAATAGATTATATGTATACTAATTATCATTGCAAATATAAATATGTCAACAACAAAGCATTAGTTTGTGTGGCTTGTAAATGAGTGCTTCACAAGTATTGGGACACTAGGTTAGTTAACAGCCAATTTTGGTACCTCTTCTAATTGATAACTGAAGAAAGGCTTTTAACCTTAGTATGTTCTAGATTAATTACATGAATTAACCCAAAAGTCTACTTTCACTCTCTGGGATACTATTAACTTTAACATAAACCTAGAGTAAATTATAAATATCAAGCAGATATATAATTGTTATTACTATATCTACCCATTTATTTTTACTAGAATATTGGTAAAATCTGCATGCATGTTTGGCTAAGGACAAAGGTATGTTCCCCCAGATAAGAACCTACTATTCTCTATTTTTAATGTCCCAAAATAATGTATATTTAATGATTTTATTACTTTCTATATTTACTCCATAAATCAGGAATTATTCTTTAAATAATTTCTGAAAAAATTTTAAACCGTGATTTTTAATATAATTATTTCAACATGCTATAATATGCATTTTAAACAAATCTTACAAAATTCTTCTTATGACAGGGAGAAATAGGAATAATAAATGTATATTATTAATAGTAGTCTTTTATTTATTGAAGTATATGTTACATTCTCAAGCTTTATTGTGGTCTGATAAAAATTACATGTAGTTGTGGTATAAAATGTGATAATTTTATAAATTTATACATTATGAAATGATTACCACAATCAACATAATACATCTATCACCACAAATAGAATAAAACAAGTAAAGTAATTTATTTTGAGGACTAGTTTCTTTTCATATTGCAATTGCTATAATGAGACAAATTATAATAACCTTTTCTGGTTCTGATGCTTTATAAATATAGTACTTTTTAAAATTTCTAGTATTATTTATGTATCATATTACAATCATACTTTAATAAATAATAAATAAACAAACTGAAGGTAATATGTGTTATCTTGCTTGAGGTCACAAAGTTTCTAGGTTTTCAAAAATATAATTCATTCTGAGTTGCTTCACCACAAAAGCTTGATCTCTTTTTATTCTATATTGCTTGCTTTTCTCTCATCATGTCTCTTGAACATATTTAAGTTTATGAAATTAATTGAGAAAAATTTAGGTCAGCATTCCAGTTGATATACAAACAACAATAATGACTCATAATATCCTTATAAAAATAAGCCTTTGTGTGATCACTTAAATATTTAACACTTTAAAATCTTCCTAAAATCTTCTTCAATATGACTGGGCATTCAAAAATATGACTTAGCGTTACATAATGGCTGTAGATGTGGGTGTTTATTGAAAACCTTCAAGAATTT
The DNA here is from genome assembly GCF_000001405.40 of Homo sapiens. Taxonomy (NCBI): domain Eukaryota; kingdom Metazoa; phylum Chordata; class Mammalia; order Primates; family Hominidae; genus Homo; species Homo sapiens. The sequence goes on along the minus strand of NC_000004.12, from coordinate 116,054,160 downwards.
CTTTATTTGATAATTTTCCAATCACATAAATATCATATAAATTATTATGTATCTTATTCTGGAACTGCAAATATTCTACATTTACATATATATTTGATTTCCCCTGTATTATAAAGTTTTCTAATTTTCACTATATTATAGTATCTTTTATTTAATTCTGTGCATAGTATACACTTTAATTTTACATTTATTTATATTTATATTTACATCTAATTTCTATTTTAAATCTATAGAGGTAATAAATTTAATTTATACTGATTGTGAAAAAAAGGTGGAGTATTTTGACTTGTGTTTTTGTCTATGCTTTTAGAAATGTAGATTGGCTAGTCCTTCTTGTTTTTAGGGTATACACACACACAAACATATGAACTTCACAACGAGAGAGGGAGGTTAAATGGTAAAAGGTGAGAAATTTTAAAAATATATGAAAAATGTGAGACTATATTAAGAAATGATGAGTCTGGATATATGTAAAAGTTATACATGAAGAAGTAGAAAATATCTATCAATGAAAAAATTGCTTTTAAACTTTATAAAAGCTATATTTTCAAAATGTATCTGAGATTTATTTAAAGAGAACACATGGCCAGAAGTGGTGGCTCACGCCTGTAATCCCAGCACTTTAGAAGACCTACCGAGGCTCATGGATCACCTGAGGTCAGGAGTTCGAGACCAGCCTGGCCAACATGGCAAAACCCCATCTCTACTAAAAATACAAAAAAAAAATTAGCTGGGCATCGTGGCGGGCATCTGTAATCCCAGCTACTAGGGAGGCTGAGCAAGAGAATCGCTTGAACCTGGGAGGCAGAGGTTGCAGTGAGTCAAGATCACGCTATTGCACTCCAGCCTGGGCAACAAGAGCAAAACTCGTCTCAAAAAAAAAAAAAGAACACATTCAGCAATCTAAATATAATTTACATTCTTATGCTGATGACCATGATTATAGAAGAAGTTAGAAGTAAATAAATATATTAATGAATAAATAATTTTATGGTACAAGAAATAAAGGCATAAAGCCAATATCTCTTTTCATTTACATTTTTTCCTGTAATCAAAAGGAAAGACTCACTTCTATAACCGGATGTGTAATACTTTGCATCCAAATAAGAAAAATCTACAAAGCTGAGGAAAAGCATCTGTTAAAAGATTTTATGTTGCGGTATGCACAGGTCCAAGTGCATTGATGGTTCATGGCAAAGACTTAGGTTTTCTTGCAACATCTGGATATTTCAGGAAAAAATAGAAGTAGATCTGTTTCTGAATAACTTAGGAATTGGCAAACTGGATAATAGGGAATCAATCTGGATAACAGTGAATTTTAGAGATTTAGATAATAAATTTAAATAATAGTGAATTTTATTTATTAATATTAATTCACTGTGAATAGTAATAGTGAATTTTTGATATTTAGAAATATACCTATATTATTTATGTTTACAAATTTAAATGCATGAATTTGGACTTAGATATTTTATTTTAATTTTTAAAACCACCTTAATAATGTATGATTGACACAAAAAGACATAAATATTTATTATATGCAGCTTGATAAGTTTGGAGATAAGTATGCATATGTAAAATCATTACCACAATCTATGCCATAAACTTATACATTACCTCCAAAAGTTTTCTCCCACACTCTTCAGTTATTGTTGTTATTATTACAGTGATAAGGACATTTAACATAACATCTAGCCTCTGGGCACATTTTTAAGTATACAAATGATATTGTTAACTATAGACTCTATGCAATACAATAGATCTCCAGGGCTTACTCTTTTTGTGTAACTGCAACTTTTTAATCTTTGGCTAATAAATCTTCATTTCCCCCTCCCCTCAGTCCCTGGAAACCACTATTCTAGCCTCTACTTCTATGAGTTTGATTATTTTAGATTTTTCTCATATAAATGGGATCTTGTAGCATTTGTCATTCTTTTTCCAGTGTATATCACTCAGCATAATGTCTTCCAGATTTATCCGTGTTGTAGCGAGTGGTAGAATTTACTTCTTTGTAAAAACTGAATAATATTCGATTGTATGTATATACCGTATTTTCTTTTTGCATTCATCCATTGATAAACATTCCAGTTGCTTTCATGTTTTCCCTATCGTGAATAATGCTGCAATGAACATGGGAGTGCAGACATCTTTTTGAGATCGTGATTTCAATTTCTTGAATGTATATACAGAAGTGGGATTGCTAGATTATATAATAATTTCATTTATAATTTGGCGGGGAACGTCCATCCTTTTTTTCCATAGTTGTTGCACCAATTTGCATTTCTATCAACAGTATATAAGGGTTCCCTTTTCTCTACATCCACAACAATATTTGTTATCTGGCTAGGTGCAGTGGCTCATGCCTATAATCCCAGCACTTTGGGAGGTTGAGGTGGGCAGATTTCTTGAGTGCAGGAGTTTGAGACCAACCTGAGAAACATGGTAAAACTCTGTCTCTACAAAATAAATAAATAAATAAAAATATTAGCCAGGTGTGGTAGTGCACACCTGTAGTTCCAGGTACTCAGGAGGCTGAGGTGGGGGGATCGTTAGAGCCAGGAGGTCGAGGCTGCAGTGACCTATGATTGTGCCACTGCACACCAGCCTGGGCAACAGAGCAAGACCCTGTCTAAAAAAAACAAAAGTTATCTTTTGTAATTGGTCCCTCATCATACACCATACACAAAAATCAACTTAAAATGAATTAAACAATAATATGTGAAGGATTAATAAAATTCCTAGAAGGAAACACAGGAGAAAATCTTCTTGACATTGGTCTTGACAATGATTTCTTGGATATGACAACAAAAGCATAAACAGCAAAAACAAACACACACAAATGGAGCTATGTCAAACTAAAACATTTTCTACACTTCAAAGGAAAAAATGAACAAAATGGAAATTCACCTATAAAAATGAAGAAAATATTTGTAAATCATATATCTGCTAAGGGGTTAATACCTAAAAAATATAAAGAAGTCCTATAATTCAATAGAATAAAAACAAACATACCAATTTAAAAATAGACTAAATAATTAAATAAACATTTCTCAAAGAAAGACATACAAATGACCAATGAGTTTATGAAAAGGTACTCAATGTCACTCACTATCAGGGAAATGTAAGTCCAAAAACCACAAGGAGTTATCACTTCATAACCAACAGAGATTATTATTGGACCTATATATTTTAAGAGGAAGACTGTATCTGGGCATATGTATACTATAAAGAGTATTAGGTACTATTAATCACCTTTTCTTTCCTGTACCATATGCTATAATTTACTGTAAAGAGCACTACTCTATCATAACAGGACTATCATTTTAATTAGACTCCAGTGTGACTTATGTGGACATTTATGTTTTTCTACACATGGTTACATGTGGTGATGTGAGTGAGAGTTTTAAAAGTGCGTAATTTATATGTATTAAACAAAAAAAATGTAGCGAAAGAAAAAATAAATACTGTAACTTGATTTTTCAAAACTAACTTAAATGCAAACACCAAGTGTGGATTTATTTTGTTAGAACATTGTGGGTGTTTAGGCAGAGGAGGATGTAAAAACAAATTGCTATTTTTTTAATTACAAAAATATTACAAGATCTTAGAAAAAATATGTATGAGAACATAAGAAGAAATAAACCAGTAGTGCTATATATAGAAATTTTAAAAGTAAAGTAACACTATGTTCTAAATTTTGAACATCTTGATAAAATAGGCACATTTCTAAAGAAAAATAGAAATGTCCAAAAATCTGTGAATAAAATATACTTAATAGTTAATAATTGAAAGATATCAAAGAAATACATTAAAACTTCACAATTTAGATTATCTTTAGCATGGATGATTCATAAACATATTACCACACTATCCTTAAGTAAACTATTCCAGGAGTAACATAAAGAATACTCATAATGTATTGAATAAAACTAGCAAAATGTTTATTACAAAGCTGATTAATCAATTATAAAAATTTAAAACAATTCCTGTAAACTACTTATGAATGAATATAGATATAACATTGGTAATTAAAAAAACTATAATGAGGCTACACCACTAAAGTAAAAGTTACCTAAATAATGCAATAATTATTTAGTAGGAGAGAAAGAATACATAATATAAACAAGAGGGCTAAAAGTATTATTAAAATGTAGCATGCACTTATTAGAGTACATGCTGAGACAGGATATATAAATTATAAGAACAGAGGGACTCAAAAAATAAATCTAAGGAGTCTTTATTAAGAATACAAGGAATGCCTCATAACAACATAAAGCTAATATTGTTTTATAATAGATATTTTTATTGGGAATTATTAAGAACAACTTAATCATTTAATTTCTAAAGAACCTCTTATCAATAAAAAATAAGATATCTGCACATCGAATTTTGTAGAAAGTCTGAGAATCTTAGATCACTACAGAAGAAAATGTAATAAAAACATTTGTGATGTAAGTTACCACAAGATAGAAGTCTATGGAACATAAATATTTAAGCAATAGTTTAATAGAAAATATGAATAGGGAATAATTTTATTGAAAAGAATGCAAAAAACACCAAAATATTTCAAAATGTTTTAGCTATATAAAGGAAATTAATGTACTAAAATATTTAAATTAAAACTTGAACAAAGGAAAGATGTGCCATGTTTCTATCTAAAACAATTGACATTTATAAAGGTGCTAATTACCCAAGATAAATGTATATATATAAAAAACTACTATAGAAAATAATTTAACAGACATTTATTAAAGTTTGAATACTAGTTTTATAATTATTATGTTGTCCTTAGTGGTTGGGAAAAACTAAAATTCAATCAGTCGTCAAAAATCAAAACAAAAACATTCTTGACAAAAATGGTAAGCCTGCAATGACTAATGACTTTGTACACATAGAATATTCTAGTAATGTACCCAGGAACTAAAAGTTAATACTTCAAAACTCACTTCAGAAAAAGTTATATTACTAGAGATAAAAAGAGGAAATACATAATGATGCAGTCAATTCTTCAAGAGAACATAAAACTCCCAAATGTGAATGCACCTATAGCCCAGAACTACAGAATACAAGTACCAAAACTCACAGAACTAGAAATAGAAATAAACCAATCAATTATTATGGTTGGAAACTTCAACACTTCTTTCTTATTAACAGAACAAGTGGACAGAAAATCAGTAAGCATAAAGAAGAAACAAACTATGTCATTAAACAATTTGACCTAATTGATAATTGTAAAACACGTCAACATCAGGAGAATATATGTTCTTATTCTTTTTAATTATACATGGACTATTCACTAAAAACAAAAACAAAATCATATGTTGGTCCATACAAAAAACTTAGTGCACTTTAAAAACATGAATCATAAAAAGCATATGTTTAGAACGTGATGGAAATAACCTAGAAATCAGTAGGAGAAAGAAAACGGAAATACTCCAAATATTTTATAATTATACTCGAAAAAAACTAGTAGGTGTAAACCTAATAACATTTAAAAGATATTTATTTCAGAAACTGCAAAACACTGATAGAAGCAATCAAAGAAGATCTAAATAAGTGGAGAGACATGCTGTGTTCATGGGTCAGAAGACTATGAATAACCAAAATGTCAAGTCTACTCAAATAGACATACAGATTTAAGACAATTTCTACTAAAACCTCAGAAAGTTTTTTTAGATATAAATAGGATTTTTCTAAAGCATTTAGGGAAAGACATTAAAAAAAAAACTTGAAAGTAAACAGTTTTGAAAAAATATATAGTGGAAACAATCAATTTACATGAATTGAAGCCATATAGCTATAGTAGTCATCCTATGTGTTATTGGTGAAGAAATAGACCCATAGATTAATAAAATAGCATAGAGAACCCAGAAATAGTGCCACTTCAGTACAGCCAACTGATTTGGACAAAGGTAAAAAATCAATGCATTGGATGGAGGACAACATTTTCAACATATGGTGCTTTATTAATTGAATATCCTTAGCCATTCCCCCATCAAACCCTTACTTAAATCTCACATCTTATTAAAAATAATAAAAATCTTGGGTAAAAAGATTTAAATTTAAATACAAACCTACAAAACTTTTAGGAAATAACATCAGAGAAAATCTTCAGGACCTAGATCTTGGTGAAGGGTTCTCAGACATGACACTTAAAGAACTATACATAAAAGAAAACCAATCTAAATTTCATTTCATCAAAATTGAAAATTTTTTTCTGCAAAAGTCCATATAAAGAGAATGCAAAAGAAAAAACAACATTGTTGTAGGTTTGGGGTTGGCAAACATTTTTTCCCATTCTTGTGATATCAACAATGAAAAAATACTTATTTCTAAAACATATAAAGAACTCTCAACGTTAACCAACGTTTTACATGGGTTTCTGAGTTCTCTATTCTCTTTTATACATACAGATCCATACATACAGAGAATTTTATAGCTGCTCCACAAAACAATCAATCATTTACTTATAGTGTTCAACATACACTTATCCCTTAAGGCTAAAATCACCTATGCCTTAGCAATTAAATTTACCCAAGGGGAGAAAAACTTGTTTACATACAAAAAGTAACACAAAACGTTTAGAATTGTTATTATTCACAATTTTTCAAAGTCCATGAAAATAACCCAAATGTCCATCATAACTGAATGGTTTTCATGCTGTGAATAGTTCTTGTGGATGAATTTCTAGCATGTATATTAAGGGAGAGAATACATTCTAATATATTCATATGGTAAATATAAACAATAAAATAAAATAAACTGGGTGAAGCAAAATAAAACAGACACAAATAACTACACACCATATAATTTCATTTCTGTGACACTCTACAATTACAATGTTGTAGGGATGGAAATAAGGTTAGTGGTTTTTAGGGGCTGAGTGTAGAGAGTAGTGAATGGCAACTAATGTGTGTGGATGATATTTTTTCATTGATTGAAACATTCTACATATTGATTATATGATTAAAGAACTGTATATGTTTGTCAAAATTCATCTAAAGGTACTTCTAAAAATATTGAGTTTGACTGTGTATAAACTAAACATCAATAAGAAAAATAGCCTCAAACTTATAATTCATCAATTATTTTGACTGTTTTTGAATTTCAATTGAGAGAAGTGTTTATATAATATCACCTTAAGGATATTCTGTACTTTGTTCTTCTACATAACACATATATTTTTGTATATCTATATTACAATTTTTAATCTTTCAATTTTTTTTGTTTTGCATTTTGATAATTTAAAGAAATATTTTTAAAACTTCAATAAAAGCATTTTTCAACTATTGTGGCTGCTTTCATTTCATAATTACCCTGTAGGACCAGGTGAAGCTTTCCTCTGAGATCACCCCATATCTAGCTTTCTCCATTTTTATGTCCTGCCATCTCTACTCCTTTGCTGCTGTTTCTTTCTTTGTTTCTTTCCTTCCTTCATGTGTAGCTTTCTCTATTTTTATGTCCTACCATCTCTACTCTTTTACTAATCCTTCCTTCCTTCCTTCCACCCGTCCTTCCTTCCTTTTTCCTTCCTTCCTTCTCTGTCTCTCTCCCTCTCTTTCTCTTTCTTTCTTTTTCCTTCTTTCTTTTTCTTTCTTTCTTTCCTTCTTCTTCTTTCTTTCTTTCCTTCTTTCTCTTTCTCTTTCTTTCTTTCTTTCTTTCTTTCTTTCTTTCTTTCTTTCTTTCTTTTTCTTTCTTTCTTTCTCTTTGACAGTGTCTCAATCTGTCACCAGGCTGGAGTACAGTGGTGCAATCACTGTAGCCTTGACCTTCCAACTCAATGGATCCTCCCACCTCAGCACCCGAGTGGCTGGGACTACAGGCATGTACCACCACACCTGGCTATATTTTTTCCTTTACTATTGTGTGTGTGTGTGTGTGTGTGTGTGTGTGTGTGTGTGGAGATGGGGTCTCATTCTGTCATCCAGGCTGTCCTCAAACTTCTGGGCTCAAGCGATCCTCCCATCTCAGTCTCCCAAAGTGCTGGGATTACAGGTGTGAGCCACTGCCCCCAGCCCTTTACTGATTTTTTCATGGAAACACTTCCTTAACAAATCATTTCAAAGGAATATGACCTAAGATAGTTGGTACTGAAAATTATCTCAGCAGTGAATATTAAGAGTGGAATTCTTTAATCAATATATTGATTTCATTTCATTTGGTTATATGCTCAAAAGATGAATTGCTGAATCATATAGTAGATCTTCTTTTAATTTTTCATGGAACTGTTGTATCATTTTCCATAAAGAAATCTATGATTTACATTCCTACCAGTGTGCATGGGTTACCTTTTCTCTATATCTTTGCCAACATTTGTCATATTTTTTCTTTCTGATTATAGCCATTCTAACAGATAAAAACAGGTAAAATGTCAATATATCATTGTGGTTTTAGTTTGCATTTCTCTCATGAGTATTGATGTTGAGCATTTTTTCATATATCTGTTAGCCATTTGTATTTCTTTTATTGAGAAAGGTCTACTCAGATCCTTTGTACATTCTGTAAACAGGTATACTTTTTTTTTTGCTACTGAGTTGAGTATATTTTAGATGTTAGCTGCTTATCAGATGTAAAGTTTGCAAATATTTTTCCCATTCTTTAGGTTGTCTCTTCACTCTGTTCATTGTTTCCTTTAAGGTGCAATAGATTTTGATTTTGATTATCCACTAACCAGATCACAATAGGAACCATATTTTTAAGGTTAAATAAAATGTCGAATATGTCAACATGCTGTACTACAAATGATAAAACTTTAAATATAATTGAGATTTGATGAAGTGGATAGAGGTTCACTGACATGTGATATTTCTCGGAATTGAGAGGTATGAAGTATGAAAATTGTGAGATAGTCAAATTGAATGGTCCACGTTAGCACAACTGTGCTTTCAGGAAATTGATGAACTCAGCTAAGCCAATACCCAAATTAACTGTGATTGTCAGAAAACCAATATCTTCTTATCTCAGAGAGCAGACTGTGCTGCCAGGAGATCAGTTTTATAAACTAATTATAAAAAAAGAACTTCTGAAAAAGCTAAATTCATAATTCACATCTTGGTAAAAATTGTTCTTCAAAGTTAGCATCCTACTAGGAAAGCTGTGTGACCCTGAGTTTGGGGCTGTATATATCTCAGTCAATGTGTTTGAAACAATGAAGCCCAGGTTTTCCTAACCTCAGTTGGCCTACAGAAGTGATGCTTCCAGTGTCTAGAGAATAGCACCTAATACAATGTGGATTTGTCCCCACCCAAATCTCATTTTGAATTTTAATTCCCATAATCCCCACATGTCATGGGAGGGACCTGGTGGGAGGTAATTGAATCATGGCGCTGGTTACCCCCATGATGCTGTTCTCATGATAGTGAGTGAGTTCTCATGAGACCTGATGGTTTTATAAGGGGCTATTTCCTCACTTCACTCTGCGCTTCTCCTTGCTGCTGCCATGTGAAGAAGGATGTGTTTGCTTCCCCTTCCACCATGATTATAAACTTTCTGAGGCCTCCCTACCCCTGGGGCACTGTAAGTCAATTACGCCCCTTTCCTTTATAAATTACCCAGTCTCAGGTATGTCTTTATTAGCAGCATGAGAACAGTAAATTTGTACTTGGTAGTGATGCACTGCTGTAAAGATACCTGACAATGTGGAAGCAATTTTGGAACTGGGTAACAAGCAGTGGTTGGAAAAGTTTAGAGGGCTCAGAAGAAGACTGGAAGATGTGGCAAAGTTTGGAACTTCATAGAGACTTCTTGAATGGCTTTAACCAAAATGTTGATAGTGATACAGACAATAAGGTCCAGGCTGAGGTGTTCTCAGAGGGAGATGAGAAACTTGTTGGGAACTGGAGTACAGGTCCTCCTGCCATGCAGAGAGACTGGAAGCATTTTGCCCCTGCCCTAGAGATCTGTGGAACTTTGAACTTGAGAGAGATGATTTAGGGTATGGTGGGGAAAAATTTCTAAACTGCATATCATTTAAGAGGAAACACAGCATAAAAGTTTGAAAAGTATGCAGCCTGATGATGCAATAGAAAAGAAAACCCCACCCCTTCCAGTCCTGGAGGATGCAATACAGGTCCAGTGTCAGCCTCCAGCCCTGGTTGCGGAAGGTGACAGTAGTCATGGCCATATTTCAGCAAATGAGAGCCAATGGGGGCAAGTTGGTTAAGGACATCAACAGATACAATCCTGGCCACCCTGGAACACTACATGGAGACGCAGGCCAAGGAGAATGCCTATGATCTAGAAGACAACCTGGCTGTCCTAAAGCTGTACCAGTTCAACCTAGCATTTTTTCAGACCACGGTCACTGCCCAGATCCTGCTGAAGGCCCTCAACACCTGCCGCACACCAACTTCACCCTGTCCACGTGCATGATCCACCAGCACAACAAGAAGAGCAGGCAATCCAACAGATTTTGCACCTCGGGGACTTGCTGGAGACTTGCCACTTCCAGGCCTTCTGGCAAGGAAAACATGGTCCTGTTGGAAGGTATAACCGGCTTTGAAGACTCTGTCTGAAAGTTTATCTGCCATGTCATGGGTATCACTTACCAGCACATGGGATGCTGGCTGCTTGGTAAAATGTTTGGTGATCTGTTAGCCAGCCAGCTAAAGGTGTAGATGAGCAAATATGGCTGGAGCGCTAACGAGTCAGGGCCGATCTTCATCTGTAACCAGGAAGAGAGCATTAAACCCTAGAATACTCTAGAGAAGATTGACTTTGACAGTGTGTCCAGCATCATCGCCTCCTCCCAGTAACTGCAGGTGTTTAATAAAGATGTGTTGATTTAGGCAAAAAAAAAAAAAAAAAAAAAAAAGACAGAAAAGAAAACCCCATTTTCTGGGGAGAAATTCTAGCTTACTGCAGAAATTTGCATATGTAATGACAATAGGGAAAATGTCTCCAGAACATGTCAAAGACCTTCATGGCAGCCCCTCTCATCATGGGCCGAGAGGCCTAAGAGGGAAAATACAGGGATTTTTCCATTTCCCAATTCACAAATTTCATTGATTTCTGCTGGACTGTGCAAATTGAAGAAAGACATCAAGCCTCATTATAGATTATCCCTACATCAAAAAAAAAAAGATTAAATCACAAAAAGTAATTAAAATATCTCTTTAAAAGCCCTGTGATATCCTTAAAGTTGCAGAAACTCAGGCTTCAACTCGAAGAGGAGATGGAAATAAATATACTTGGAGGCTCTTCCTCCACTGTGGGTCAACTTCATGGCAAAGCAGCTGTCTTGGAAAGACACTTTATGTGCACAGTTCTAGCAAGTGGGTATATCAGCCAAGCCAGCTTCCACCTGGCTTGTTAGGGCCTCTTCCTTCCCCTTGATGTGACTGGCTCTGCCTGAGAGGCCAGGCACATTCATACTGTGTACCTGGCTTTCAGCAAGGACAAACAGTAAGATGAATATAGAAATGTGATCTCAATCCTAGTTGCTTCTGCAAACACCCAGAAGTGATTGTAAAGAAGCTCCAGCTTTGGCTGGGCATGGTGGCTCACACTTGTAATTCCAACACATTGGGAGGCCGAGGTGGGCAGACCACCTGAGGTCAGGAGTTCAA